>NC_000020.11:26348390-26364240 GCF_000001405.40 Homo sapiens
AAGCATTCTCAAAACCTTCTTTGTGATATGTGTACTTAACTCACAGAGTTGAACATTTCTTTTGATACAGCAGTTTTTAAACACTCTTTTTGTAGAATCTGCAAGTGGGTATTTGGATAGATTTCAGGATTTCATTGGAAACGGGAATATCTTCCCATAAAAACTAGACAGAAGCATTCTCAGAAACTTCTTTGTGATGTTTGCATTCAACTCACAGAGTTGAAAAATCCTTTTAATAGAGCAGTTTTGAAACACTCTTTTTGAAGTATCTGTAAGTGGAAACTCAGAGCACTTTGAGGCCTATGTTGAAATTGGAAATAACTTCCCATAAAAAATAGACAGAAAAATTCCCAGAAACTTCTTTGTGATGTGTGTACTCAACTCGCAGAGTTGACCTTTTCTTTTCATAGAGCAGTTTTGAAACACTCTTTTTGTAGAGTGTGCAATTAGATATTAATATATCATTGAGGATTTCACTGGAAACGGGAATATCTTCACATAAAAACTAGACAGAAGCATTCTCAGAAACTTCGTTGTGATGCTTGCATTGAACTCAGAGAGTTGAACATTACTTTTCATAGAACTGTTCTAAAACCCTCTTTTTGAAGAATCTGTAAGTGGCAACTTGGAGCGCTTTGAGGCCTAGGCTGAAAAAGGAAATATATTTACATAAAAACTAGACAGAAGCATTCTAAGAAACTTCTTTGTGATGTGTGTACTCAACTTACAGAGTTGAACCTTTCTTTTGATACAGCAGTTTTGAAACACTTTTTTTGTAAAATCTGCAAGTGGATACTTGGATAGTTATGAGGCTTTCGTTGGAAACGAGAATAACTTCAGGTAAAAACTAGACAGAAGCATTCTCAGAAACTTCTTTGTGATGTTTCCATTCAACTAACGGAGTTGAACATTCCTTTTCATAGAGCAGTTTTGAAACACTCTTTTTGTAGAATCTGTAATTGGAAACTTGGAGAGCTTTGAGGTCTAAGGTGAAAAATGAAGTATCTTCCCATAAAAACCATACAGAAGAATTATCAGAAACTTCTTTGTGATGTGTGTACTCAACTCAGAGCGTTGAACTTTTCTTTTGATGGAGCAGTTTTGAAACACTCTTTTTGTAAAGTCTGCAAGTGGATATTTGGATACCTTTTAGGATTTCTTTGGAAACGGGGATGTCTTCTCATAAAAACTAGACAGAAGCTTTCTCAGAAACTTCTCTGGGAAGTTTGCATTCAACAAATAGAGTTGAACATTCCCTTTCATAGAGCAGTTTTGAAACACTCTTTGTAGTATCTGGAAGTGGACATTTGGAGCGCTTTGAGGCCTATGGTGAAAAAGGCGAAATCTTCACGTAAAAATTAGACAGAAGCATTCTCAGAAACTTGTTTGACGTGTGTGTACTCAGCTCACAGAGTTGAACTTTTCTTTTGATACAGCAGTTTTGAAACACTCTTTTTGTAGAATCTGCAAGTGGATATTTGAATAACTTTGAGGCTTTCGTTGGAAACGGGAATATCTTCACATAAAAAGTAGACAGAAGCATTCTCAGAAACTTCTTTGTGATGCTTGCATTTAACTCACAGAGTTGAACATTCCTTTTCATAGATCAGTTTTGACACACTCTTTTTGAAAAATCTGTAGGTGGAAACTTGGAGCGTTTTGAGGCCTATGGTGCAAAAGGAAATATCTTACCATAAAAACTAAACAGAAGAATTCTCAGAAACTTATTTTAGATGTGTGTACTAAACTCAAAAAGTTGAACTTTTCTTTTTATAGAGCAGTTTTGGGACACTCTTTTTGCACAATCTGCAAGTGTATATTTTGATAGTTTTGAGGATTTCCTTGTAAATGGAAATATCTCCACGTAAAAACTAGACAGAAGCATTCTCAGAAATTACTTTGTGATGCTTGAATTCAACTCACCGAGTTGAACATTCCCTTTCATAGAGCACTTTTGAAACACTCTTTTTGTGGTATCTGGAAGTGGACATTTGGAGTGCTTTTGAGGCCTGTGGTGAAAAAGGGAATATCTTCCCATAAAAACTAGACAGAAGCATTCTCGGAAACTTCTTTGTGATGTGTGTACTCATCTCACAGAGTTGAACCTTCCTTTTGATACAGCAGTTATGAAACACTCCTTTTGAAGAATCCGCAAGTGGATATTTGTATAGATTTGAGGCTTTCATTGAAAATGGGGATATCTTCACATAAAAACTAGACAGAAGCATTCTCGGAAATTTCTTTGTGATGCTTGCATTCAACACACGGAGTTAAACCCTCGTTTTCATAGAGCAGTTTTGAAACACTCTTTCTGAAGAATCTGTAGGTGGAAACTTGAAGCGCTTTGAGGCCTATGGTGGAAAAGGAAATATCTTACCTTAAAAACTAGACAGAAGAATTCTCAGAAACTTCTTTGTGATGTGTGTACTCAACTCACAGAGTTGAACGTTTCTTTTGATAGAGGAGTTTTGAAACACTCTTTTTGTAGACTCTGCAAGTGGATATGTGGATTGCTATATGGATTTGGCCGGAAACGGGAATATCCTCGCTTAAAAACTAGATAGAAGCATTCTCAAAAACTTCCTTTTGACATTTGCGTTCAACTCACAGAGTTGAACATTTCCTTTCATAGAGCAGTTTGGAAAAACTCTTTTTGTAGAATCTGGAAGTGGACTTTTGGAGGGATTTGAGACCTGTGGTGAAAAAGGAAACATCTTCACATAAAATGAAGACAGAAGGATTCTCAGAAACTACTTTGTGATGCGTGTACTCAAATCACAGTGTTAAACATTTCTTTTGATACAGCAGTTTTGAAACACTCATTTTATTGAATCCGTAAGGGGATATTTTGACAGATTTGAGACCTTCGCTGGAAATGGTTATATCTTCACATAAAAACTAGACAGAAGCATTCTCAGAAACTTCTTTGTGATGTTTGAATTCAAGTCACAGAGTTGAACATTCCCTTTCATAGAGCAGTTTTGAAACACTCTTTTTGTAGTATCTGGAAGTGGACATTTTGAGCGCTTTGAAGCCTACGGTGAAAAAAAAGTCTTCACATAAAAACTAGACAGGAGCATTCTCAGAAACTTCTTTGTGATGTGTGTACTCAACTCACAGTGTTGAAACTTTCTTTTGATACAGCAGTTTTGAAACACTCCTTTTGTAGAATCTGCAAGTGGATATTTGGATACTTTTGAGGCTTTCGTTGGAAACGGGAATATCTTCACATAAAAACTAGAAAGAAGCATTCTAGGAAACTTCCTTGTGATGTTTGCATTCAACTCACAGAGTTGAACACTCCTTTTCATAGAGCAGTTTTGAAACACTATTTTTCAAGAATCTGCACGTGGACATTTGGAGCGATTTGAGACATATGGTGAAAAAGGAAATATCTTCACATAAAAAGCAGACAGGAGAATTCTCAGAAACTTCTTTGTGATGTGTGCACTCAACTCACAGAGATGAATTTTTCTTTTGATGGAGCAGATTTGAAACACTCTTTTTGGAGAATCTGCAAGTGGATATTTGGATAGCTTTGAGGATTTCGTTGGAAGTGATAATATCTTCTTATAAAATCTAGACAGAAGCATTCTCAGAAACTTCTATATGATGTTTGCATTCATGTCACAGAGATGAACATTCCCTTTCATAGGGCAGTTTTGAAACACTCTTTTGTAGTGTATGGAAGTGGACATTTTGAGCGCTTTGAGGCATATGGTGAAAAACGAAATATTTTCACATAAAAACTAGACAGGAGCACTCTCAGAAACTCCTTTGTGGTGTGTGTACTCAACTCACAGAGTTGAACCTTTCCTTTGATACAGTAGTTTTGAAACACTCTTTTTGTAGAATCTGCAAGTGGATATTTGGATAGCTTTGTGCATTTCATTGGAAACGGGAATACCTTTACAGAAAAACTAGTGAGAGTCATACGCAGAAACATCTTTGTGATGTTTGCATTCTACTCACAGAGTTGAAGATTCCTTTTCATAGAGCAGTTTTGAAACACTCTTTTTGAAGGATCTTCAAGTGGATATTTTAAGCGATTTGAGACCTATGGTGAAAAAGGAAATATCTTCACATAAAAACAGACAGAAACCTTCTCTTAAAATGCTTTGTGATGTGTGTACTCAACTCACAGCATTAAACATTTCCTTTGATAGAGCAGTTTGGGAACACTCTTCTTGTAGAATTTAGAAGTGGATATTAGGACAGCATTGAGGATTGCGTTGCAAACGGGAATATCTTCACATAAAACTAGACAGAAGCATTCTCAGAAACTACTTTGTGATGTGTGCATTCAACTTGAAGAGCTGAAACTTTCTTTTGATAGAGTAGGTTGGAAACACTCTTTTTGTAGAATTTGCAAGTGGATCTTTGGACAGCTTTGAGGACTTTGCTGGAAGTATGTATATCGTCACATAAAAACTAGATAGAAGCATTCTCAGAAATTTATTTGTGTTGCTTGCATTCAACTCACAGTGTTGAACATTCCTTTTCGTAGAGCAGTTTTGAAACACTCTTTTTGTAGGATCTGTAAGTGGAAACTTGGAGCACTTCGAGGCCTATGGTGAAAAAGGAAACTAGACAGAAGAATTCTCAGAAACTTTTTTGTGATGTGTGTACTCAACTCACAGAGTTGAACTTTTCTTTTGATAGAGCAGTTTTGAAACGCTGTTTTTGTAGTATCTGCAAGTGGTTATTTGGATAGATTTGAGGATTTCGTTGGAAAAGGGAATATCTTCACATAAAAACTAGACAGAAGCATTCTCAGAAACTACTTTGTGATGTTTCCATTCAAGTCACAGAGGTGCACATTCCTCTTCATAGAGCAGTTTTGAAACAATCTTTTTGTAGTATCTGGAAGTGGACATTTGGAGCGCTTTGAGGCCTATGTTGAAAAAGGAAATATCTTCCCATAAAACTAGACAGAAGCATTCTCAGAAACTTGTTTGTGATGTGTGTACTCAACTCACAGAGTTGAACCTTTCTTTTGATACAGCAGTTTTGAAGCACTCTTTTTGTAGAATCTGCCAGTGGATATTTGGATAGCTTTGAGGATTTCGTTGTAAACAGGAATATCTTCATATAAAAACTAGACAGAAGCATTCCCAGAAACTTCTTTGTGATGATTCCATTCAAGTCATAGTGTTGAACATTCCCTTTTGTAGAGCAGTTTCCAAACACTCTCTTTGTAGTATCTGGAAGTGGACTTTTGGAGCGCTTTGGGGCCAATGGTGAAAAAGGAAATATCTTCCCATAAAAACTAGACAGAAGCATTCTCAGAAACTTGTTTGTGATGTGTGCCCTCTACTAACAGAGTTGAACCTTTCTTTTCATAGAGCAGTTTGAAACACTCTTTTTGTAGAATCTGCAGGAGGATATTTGCATAGCTTTGAGGATTTCGTTGGAAACGGGATTGTCTTCAGATAAAATCCAGACAGAAGCATTCTCAGAAACTTCTTTGGGATGTTTGCATTCAAGTCACAGAGGAGAACATTCCCTTTCGTAGAGAAGGTTTGAAACACTCTTTTTGTAGTATCTGGAAGTGGACATTTGGAGCGCTTAGAGGCCTATGGTGAAAAACCAAATATCTTCACATAAAAACTATACAGGAGCATTCTGAGAAACTTCTTTGTGATGTCTGTACTCAACTCACAGAGTTGAACCTTTCTTTTCATACAGCAGTTTTGAAACCCTCTTTTTGTAGAATCTGCAAGTGGATATTTGCATAGCTTTAAGGCTTTTGTTGGAAATGTGAATATCTTCACTTAAAAATTAGAGAGAAGAATTCCCGGAAACTTCTTTGTGTTGTTTGCATTCAACTCGCAGAGTTGAACATTCCTTTTCATAGAGCAGTTTTGAAACACTCTTTTTCAAGAATCTGCACGTGTACATTTGGAGTGATTTGAGACCTATGAAGAAAAATGAAATATCTATCTTCACATAAAAAGCAGACACAAACATTCTCAGAAACTACTTTGTGATATGTGTACTCAACTCACAGAGTTAAAAATTTCCTTTGATACAGCAGTTTTGAAACACTCTCCTTGTAGAATTTACAAGTGGATATTAAGACAGCGTTGAAGATATCGTTGGAAACGGGAATATCTTCACATACAATTAGACAGAAGCAGTCTCAGAAACTTCTTTGTGATGTGTGCATTCATCTCACAGAGTGGAAACTTTCTTTCAATAGAGCAGATTGGAAACAATCTTTTTGTAGTATTTGCAAGTGGATATTTGCATATTTGCACAGCTTTGTGACCTTTGCTGAAACGAGTATATCTTCACATAAAAGCTAGACAGAAGCATTCTCTGAAACTTCATTGTGATGCTTGCATTCAACTCACATTGTTGAACATTCCTTTTCATAGAGCAGTTTTTAAACACTCTCTTTCTTGAATCAGTAAGTGGAAAATAGGAGCGCTTTGAGGCCTATGGTGAAAAAGGAAACATCTTCTCATAAAAACTAGAGAGAAGAATTCTCAGAAACTCCTTTGTAATGTGTATACTCAACTCACAGAGTTTTACTTTGCTTTTGATAGAGAAGTTTTGAAACACTCTTATTGTAGAATCTGCAAGTGGATATTTGGATAGCTTTGAGGATTTCGTTGTAAACGGGAATATCTTCACATCAAAACTAGACAGAAGCATTCTCAGAAACGACTTTGTGATGTTTCCATTGAAGTCACAGAGTTGAACATTCCCTTTCATAGAGCAGTTTTGAAATACTCTTTTTGTAGTATCTGGAAGTCTACATTTGAGGCGCTTTGAAGCCTACGGTGAAAAAGGAAATATCTTCCCATAAAAACTAGACAGAAGCATTCTCAGAGACTTGTTTGTGATGTGTGTTCTCAAAAAACAGGGTTGAACCTTTCTTTTGATCGAGCAGTTTTGAAACACTGTTTTTGTAGAATCTGCCAATGGATATTTGGATAGCTTTGAGGATTTCACTGGAAACGGGAATATCTTCATATGAAATCTAGACAGAAGCATTCTCAGAAACTTCTTTGTGATGTTTGCATTCAACTCACAGAGTTTAACATTCCCATTCATTGAGCAGTTTGGAAACACTCTTTCTGCAGTATCTGGAAGTGGATATTTGGAGCGCTTTGAAGCCTATGGTGAAAAACCAAATATCTTCACATAAAAACTACACAGGAGCATTCTCAGAAACTTCTTTGTGATGTGTGTACTCAACTCACAGAGTTGAACCTTTCTTTTGATACAGCACATTTAAAGCACTCCTTTTGTAGAATCTGCAAGTGGATATTTGGATAGCTTTGAGTCTTCGTTGGAAAAGGGGATATCTTCACATAAAACTAGAGAGAAGGACTCCCGGAAAAATCTTTGTGATGTTTGCATTCAACTCACAGAGTTGAACATTCCTTTCCGTAGAGCAGTTTTGAAACACTCTTTTTGAAGAATCTGCACGTGGACATTTGTAGCGATATGAGACCTATGGTGAAAAAAGAAATATCTTCCCATAAAAAGCAGACAGAAATATTCTCGGAAACTTCTTTGTGATGTGTGTACTCAACTAACAGAGTTGAAACTTTCTTTTGATAAAGCAGTTTGAAACACTCTTTTATTGAATCCGCAAGGGGATATTTGTATAGCTTTGAGGCTTTCGTTGGAAACGGGAATATCTTCACATAAAAAGTAGACAGTAGCATTCTCAGAAACTTCTTTGTGATGCTTGCATTCAACTTAAAGAGTTAAATATTCCTTTTCATAGAGCAGTTATGAAACACTCTTTTTCTAGAATCTGTAGGTGGAAACTTGGAGCGCTTTGAGGCCTATGGTCAAAATGGAAATATCTTCCCATAAAAAATAGGCAGAAGAATTCTCAGAAACTTTGTTGGGTTGTGTGTACTCAACTCACAGAGTTTAACTTTTCTTTTTCGTAGAGCAGTTTTGAAACACTGTTTTTGTAGAATCTGCAAGTGGATATTTGGATAGCTTTGAGGATTTCGTTGGATACGGGAATATCTTCATATAAAATCTAGACAGAAGCATTCTGAGAAACATCTTTGTGATGTTTGCATTCAAGGCACAGAGTTGAACATTTCCTTTTACAGAGCAGGTTTGACACACTCTTTTTGTATTATCTGGAAGTGGACATTTGGAGCTGTTTGAGGCCTATCGTGAAAAAGGAAATATCTTCCCATAAAGACTAGACAGAAACATTCTCAGAAACTTGTTTGTGATGTGTGTTCTCAACTAACAGAGTTTTACCTTTCTTTTGACAGAGCAGTTTAGAAACACTCTTTTTGAAGAAGATGCAAGTGGATATTTGGATAGCTTTGAGGATTTCGTTGGAAATGGGAATATCTTCATGTAAAATCTAGACAGAAGCATTTTCAGAAACTTCTTTGTGATGTCTGCATTCAAGTCACAGAGTTGAACATTCCCTTTCATAGAGCAGATTTAAATCAGTCTTTTTGAAGTATCTGGAATTGGACATTTGGAGCGCTTTTACGCCTATGGTGAAAAAGGAAATATCTTCCCATAAAAACCAAGACAGAAGCATTCTCAGAAACTTGTTTGGGATGTGTATACTCAACTAACAGGGTTGAAACTTTCTTTTGACAGAGTTTGTAAACACACTTTTTGTAGAATCTGCAAGTGGATATTTGGATAGCTGTGAGGATTTCGTTGGAAACGGGAATAGCTTCATATAAAATCTAGATAGAAGCACTCTGAGAAACAACTTTGTGATGTGTACATTCAAGTCACAGGGTTCAGCATTCCCTTTCACAGAGCAGGTTTGAAACACTCTTTCTGTAATTTCTGGAAGTGGACATTTCGAGCGCTTTGGGGCATACAGTGAAAAAGTAATTATCTTCCCTTAAAAAATAGATGGAACCATTCGCAGAGTCATGTTTGTGATATGTGCACTCAACTAACAGAGTTGAACCTTTCTTTTGATAGAGGACATTTGAAACACTCTTTTTGTAGAATCTGCAATGGATATTTGGATAGCTTTGATGGTTTCGTTGGAAACGGGAATGTCTTCATAGAAAATCTAGATGGAAGCATTCTCAGAAACACCTTTGTGATGTTTGCACTCAAGTCACAGAGTTGAACATTCCCTTTCAAAGAGCAGGTTTGAAACACTCTTTCTGTAGAATCTGGAAGTGGGCATTTGGAGCGCTTCGAGGACTATGGTGTAAGAGGAAATAACTTCCCATAAAAAGTAGATAGAAGCAATCTCAGAAACTTGTTTATGATGTGTCTAATCATCTAAAAGAGTTGAAACTTTCTATTGATAGAGCACTTTCAAAACATTCTTTTTGTGGAATCCGCAAGTTGATATTTTGATAGCTTTGAGGATTTCTTTGGAAACAGGAATAACGAAATATAAAATCTAGACTGAAGCATTCTCAGAAACTTCTTTGTGATGTCTGCATTCAAGTCACAAAGTTGAACATTCCCTTTCAGAGAGCACGTTTAAAACACCCTTTTTGTAGTATCTGGAAGTGCACATTTGGAGCGCTTTGATGCATATGGTGAAAAAGGAAA
Organism: Homo sapiens; assembly: GCF_000001405.40. NCBI lineage: Eukaryota > Metazoa > Chordata > Mammalia > Primates > Hominidae > Homo > Homo sapiens. Next base: position 26,357,922 of record NC_000020.11, read on the forward strand.
TATCTTCCCATGAAAACTAGACAGAAGCATTCTAAAAACTTCTTTATGTTGTATATATTCAACTAACAGAGTTGAACCTCTCTGTTGATAGAGCAGTTTTGAAACACTCTTTTTGGAGAATCTGCAAGTGGATATTTGGAGAGCTTTGAGGATTTCGTTGGAAACTGGAATACATATAAAAAGTAGATAGCAAAATTCTCAGAAACTTCTTTGTGATGTTTGCATTCAAGTTACAGAGTTGAACATTTTCTTTCACAGAGCAGGTTTGAAACACTCTTTCTGTAGTATTTGGAAGTGGACATTTCGAGCGCTTTGAGACCTACGGTGGAAAAGGAATTATCTTCCCATAAAAAATAGACAGAAGCATTCTCAGAATCATGTTTGTGATGTGTGTACTCAACTAACACAGTTGAACATTTCTTTTGATAGAGCACTTTCGAAACACTCTTTTTGTAGAATCTGCAAGTGGATATTTTGATAGCTTTGAGGATTTCGTTGGAAACGGGAATGTCTTCATAGAAAATCTAGACAGAAGCATTCTCAGAAACACCTTTGTGATGTTTGCATTCATGTCACAGATTTGAACATTCCCTTTCATAGAGCAGGTTTGAAACACACTTTTTGTAGTATCTGGAAGTGGACATTTGGAGTGCTTCAAGGCCTATGGTGAAAAAGGAGATATCTTCCCATAAAAACTAGACAGAAGCAATCTCAGAAACTTGTTTATGATGTATCTAAAAATCTAACAGAGTTGAAATTTTCTATTGACAGAGCGCTTTTGAAACACTCTTTTTGAGGAATCTGCAAATGGATATTTGGACAGCTTTCAGGTTTTCGTTGGAAACCGGTTTCTCTTCATAGAAAATCTAGACAGAAGCATTCTCAGAAACACCTTTGTGATGTTTGCCTTCATGTCACACAGTTGAACATACTCTTTCATAGATCAGATTTGAGCCACCATTTTTGTAATATCTTGAAGTGGACATTTCGTGAACTTTGAGGTCTATGGTGAAAAAGGAAATATCTTCCCATAAAAAGGAGATAGAAACAATCTCAGAAACGTGTTTATGATGGATATACACAACTAACAGAGTTGAACCTTTCTATTGATTGAGCCGATTTGAAACACACTTTTTGTGGAATCTGCAAGTGGATATCTAGATAGCTTTGACGATTTCGTTGGAAATGGGCATACATATAAAAAGTAGACAACAACATTGTCAGAAACTTCTTTGTGATGTTTGAATTCAAGTCACAGAGATGAACATTCCCTTTCATAGAGCAGGTTTGAAACACTAATTTTGTAGTATCTGAAAGTGGACATTTGGAGCGCTTTCCGGCCTAAGGTGAAAAAGGAAATATCTTCCCATAAAAACTAGACAGAAGCATTCTCAGAAACATATTTGTGATATGTGTCGTGAACTAACAGAGTTGAACCTTTCTTTTGACAGAGCAGTTTTGAAAAATTCTTTTTGTATAATCTGCTAGTCGATATTTGGATAGCTTTGAGGATTTCGTTGGAAACGGGAATTTCTTCATGTAAAATATTGACAGAAGTATTCAGAGCAACATCTTTGTGATGTTTCCATTCAAGTCACAGAGTTGAACATTCCCTTTCATAGAGCAGGTTTAAAACACTCTTTTTGTGGTATCTGGAAGTGGACATTTAGAGCGCTTTGAGGCCTATTGTGAAAAAGGAAATATCTTCCCATAAAAACTAGACAGAAGCATTCTTAGAATCATGTTTGTGATGTGTGTACTCAACTAACAGAGTTGACCCTTCCTTTTGATAGAGCACTATTGAAACACTCTTTTTGTAGAATCTGCAAGTGGATATTTGGATAGCTTTGAGGATTTCGCTGTAAACGGGAATGTCTTCATAGAAAATCTAGAAAGATGCATTCTAAGAAACTTCTTTGTGATGTCTACATTCAAGTCACAGATTTCAACATTCCCTTTCTTAGAGCAGGTTTGAAGCACTCTTTTTTTTTTTAGTATGTGGAAGTGGATATTTGGAGAACTTTGAGGCCTATGGGGAAAAAGGAAATATCTTCCCATAAAAACTAGACAGAAGCATGCTCAGAATCACGTTTGTGTTGTGTGTACTCAACGAACAGAGTTGAAGCTTTCTTTTGATAGAGCACTTTTGAAACACTCTTTTTGTAGAATCTGCAAGTGGATATGTGGATAGCTTTGAGGATTTCGTTGGAAACGGGAATATCTACATACAAAATCTAGACAGAAGCATTCCCGGAAACACCTTTGGGATGTTTGCATTCAAGTCACAGAGTTGAACATTCCCTTTCATAGAGCAGGTTTGAAACAATCTTTTTGTAGTATCTGGAAGTGGACATTTGGAGCGCTTTCTGGCCTATGGTGCAAAAGGATATATCTTCCGAAAAAAACTAGTTAGAACCAATCTCAGAAACTTGTTAATGATATATCTACTCAACTAATATAGTTGAAGCTTTCTATTGATAGAGCAGTTTTGAAACACTCTTTTTGTGGAATCTGCAATGGATATTTGGATAGCTTTGAGGTTTTCGTTGGAAACGGGAATAAATAAAAAATAGACAACAGCAATCTCAGAAACTTCTTTGTGATGTTTACATTCAAGTCAAAGAGTTGAACATTCCCTTTCATAGAGCAGGTTTGAAACACTCATTTTGAAGTATCTGGAAGTGGACGTTTGTAGCGCTTCCAAGCCTATGGTGAAAAAGGAAATATCTTCCCCTAAAAGCTAGTCAGAAGCATTCTCACAAAGTTGTTGGTGATGTTTGTACTCAACTAAGAGAGTTCAAACTTTCTTTTGACAGAGGAGTTTCGAAACCCTTTTTTTGTAGAAGCTGCAAATGGATATTTTGATAGCTTTGAGGATTTCGATGGAAACGGGCATATCTTCTTATAAAATCTAGAAAGAAGCATTCTCAGAAACATCTTTCTAATGTCTGCATTCAAGTCACAGAGTTGAATGTTCCCTTTCATAGAGCAGGTTTGAAACACAATAATTGTACTATGTGGAAGTGGACATTTGGAGGGCTTTGAAGCCTATGGTCAAAAAGGAAATATCTTCCCATAAAAACTAGACAGAACCATTCTCATAAACATATTTTTGATGTCTGTCCTCAACTAACAGACTTGAAACTTTCTTTTGCTACAGCAGTTTTGAAACACTCTTTTTGGAGATTCTGCAAGTGGATATTTCAATAGCTTTGAGGATTTCGTTGGAAACGGGAATACACATAAAAATTAGACAGCAGCATTCTCAGAAACATCTTTGTGATCTTTGCATTCAAGTCACAGATTTGAAAATTCCCCTTCATAGAGCAGGTTTGAAAATCTCTTTTTGTAGTATATGGAAGTGGACATTTGGAGCGCTTCCAAGCTTATGGTGAAAAAGGAAATATCTTCCCCTAAAAACTAGACCGAAGCATTCTCAGAAACATGTTTGTGATGTGTGTATTCAACTAACTGATTTGAACCTTTCTTTTGATACAGTAATTGCGAAACCCTCTTTTTTGTAGAAGCTGCAAGTGGATATTCGGATGGCTTTGAGGATTTCGATGGAAATGGGCATATCTTCATAGAAATCCAGACAGAAGCATTCTCAGAAACTTCTTTGTGATGTCTGCATTCAAGTCACAGAGTTGAACGTTCCGTTTCATAGAGCAGGTTTGAAACACATTTTTGTACTATCTGGAAGTGCATATTTGTAGCGTTATGAAGCCTATGGTGAAAAAGGAAATATCTTCCCATGAAAACTAGACAGAAGCATTCTCAGAAACTTGTGTGTCATGTGTGTTCTCAACTAACAGTGTTGAATCTTCCTTTTGATAGAAGAGTTTTGAAACACTCTTTTTGTAGAATCTGCAAGTGGATATTTGGATAGATTTGAGGATTGCGTTGTAAACGGTAATATCTTCATATACAATCCTGACAGAAGAATTCTGAGAAAATCTTTGTGATGTTTCCATTCAAGTCACAGAGTTGAACATTCCCTTTCATAGGGCAGGTTTGAAACACTCCTTTTGTAGGATCTGGGAGTGGACATTTGTAGCGCTTTCAGGACTATGTTGGAAAAGGAAATATCTTCCCATAAAAACTAGACAGAAACATTCTCAGAAAGTTGTTTGTGATGTGTGTACTCAACTAACAGAGTTGAACCTATCTTTTGATAGACCACTTTTGAAACACTCTTTTCGTAGTATCTGCAAGTGGATATTTGGATAGCTTTGAGGATATCGTTGGAAACGGGAATATCTTCATATAAAATCTAGACAGAAACATTCTGAGAAACATCTTTGTGAAGATTCCATTCAAGTCACAGAGTTGAACATTCTCTTTCACAGAGCAGGTTTGAAACACTCTTTTTGTAGTGTCTGAAAGTGGACAATTAGAGCGCTTTGAGGTCTATGCTGAAAAAGGAAATATCTTCCAATAAAAACTAGATAGAAGCATTCTCTGAATCATGTTTGTGATGTGGGTCCTCAACAAACAGAGCTGAACCTTTCTTTTCATAGATCAGTTTTGAAACACTCTTTTTGTAGAACCTGCAAGTGGATATTTGGATAGATTTGAGCATTTCGTGGAAACGGGAATAACGTCATATAAAATCTAGACAGAAGCATTCTCAGAAACTTCCTTGTGATGTTTGCATTCAAGTCACAGAGTTGAACATTCCCCTTCATAGAGCAGGTTTGAAAAACTCTTTTTGTAGTATGTGGAAGTGGACATTTGGAGCGCTTTCAGGCCTACGGGAAAAAGGAAATATCTTCCAATAAAAACTAGACAGAAGCATTCTCAGAAACTTATTTTTGAAGTGTGTCCTCAACTAACAGAGTTGAACTATTCTTTTGATAGAGGAGTTTTGAAACACCCTTTTTGTAGAATCTGCAAGTGGATATTTGGATAGCTTTGAGGATTTCGTTGGAAACGGGAATATCTTCATATAAAATCTAGACAGAAGTATGCTCAGAAACTTCTTTGCGATGTTTGAATTCAAGTCACCGAGTTGAACATTCCTTTTCATAGAGCAGGCTTCAAACACTCTTTTTCTAGTATCTGGAAGTGGACATTTGGAGAGCTTTCAAGCCTAAGGTGATAAAGTAAATATCTTCCCATAAAAATTAGACAGAAGCACTCTTATAAACTTATTTGTGATCTATGTCCTCAACTAACAGACTTGAACATTTCTTTTGAAAGAGCAGTTTTGAAGCACTCTTTTTGTGGAATCTCCAAGTGGATAATTGGCGAACTTTGAGGAGATCATTGGAAACGGTAATGTCTTCATAAAAATCTAGAAAGAAGGATTCTCGGAAACGTCTTTGTGATGTTTACATTCAAGTCACAGATTTGAACATTCCCTTTCAAAGAGCAGGTTTGAAACACTCTTTCTCTAATATCTGGAAGTGGACATTTGGAGCGCTTTCAGGCCTATGGTGAAAAAGGAAATATCTTCCCATAAAAACTAGACAGAAATATTCTCAGAAACTACTTTGTGATGTGTGTACTCAACTAACAGAGTTGAACCATTCTTTTGTCAGAGCAGTTTTGAAAAACTCTTTTTGTAAAATCTGCAAGTCAATATTTGGCTAGCTTTGAGGATTTCATTGGAAACGGGAATATATATACAACTAGACAGCAGCATTGTCAGAAACTTCTTTGTGATGTTTGCATTCAAGTCATAGAGTTGAACATTCCCTTTCATAGAGCAAGTTTGATACACTCTTTTTGTAGTATCTGGAAGTGGTCATTTAGAGCGCTCTGAAGCCTTTGGTGAAAAGATAAATATCTTCTCACAAAACTAGATAAAAGCAATCTCAGAAACTGATTTATGATGTATCTACTCAACTAACAGATTTGAACCTTTCTCTGGATAGAGCAGTTTTGAAACCCTCTTTGTGTGGAATCTGCAAGTGGATATTTGGCTAGTTTTGAGGATTTCGTTGGAAAAAGGAATGTCTTCCTATATAATCTAGACAGAAGGATTCTAGGAAACTTCTTTGTGATGTTTCCATTCAAGTCACAGTGTTGAACATTCCTTTTCATTGAGTAGACTTGAAACACTCTTTTTCTACTATCTGGAAGTGGCCATTTGGAGCGCTTTCAAGCCTAAGGTGATAAAGTAAATATCTTCCCATAAAAACTAGACAGAAACATTCTCATTAACTAATTTCTGATGTGTGTCCTCAACTAGGTGACTTGAACATAACTTTTGATACAGCAGTTTTGAAACACTCTTTTTGTGGAATCTGCAACTGGATATTTGGCTGGCAATGAGGATTTCGCTGGAAACGGGAATACATAAAAAAGCAGACAA
>NC_000020.11:26365414-26382164 GCF_000001405.40 Homo sapiens
CTAACCGGGTTGAACATTTCTTTTGAGAGAGGAGTTTTGAAACACTCTTTTTGTGGAATCTTCAAGTGGATATTTGGCTAGCTTTGAGGATTTCGTTGGAAACGGGAATACATTTAAAAAGCAGACAGCAGCATTCTGAGCAACATCTTTGTGATATTTTCATTCAAGTCACAGAGTTGAAAATTCCCTTTCATAGAGCAGGTTTGAAACACTACTTTTGTAGTATCCGCAAGTGGACATTTGGAGCGCTTTCAGGCCTATGTTGAAAAAGGAAATATTTTCCCATAAAAACTAGACAGAAGCATTCTCAGAAACTTGTTTATGATGCATCTACTCAACTAACAGAGTTGAACATTTCTTTGATAGAGCAGTTTTGAAACACTCTTTTTGTGGAATATCCAAGAGGATATTTGGCTAGCTTTAAGGATATCGTTGGAAACGGGAATACATTTAAAAAGCAGACAGCAGTGTTCTGAGCAACTTCTTTGTGATATTTTCATTCAAGTCACAGAGTTGAAAATTCCCTTTAATAGAGCCGGATTGAAACACTCCTTTTGTAGTATCTGGAAGTGGACATTTGGAGCGCTTTCAGGCCTATGTTGAGAAAGGTAATATCTTCCCATAAAAACTAGACAGAAGCATTCTCAGAAACTTATTTGTGATGTGTGCCCTCAACTAACAGAGTTTAACATTTCTTTTGATAGAGTAGTTTTGAAACACTCCTTTTGTGGAATCTGCAACTGGATATTTGGCTGGCTATGAGGATTTCGTTGGAAACGGGAATACATATAAAAAGCAGACAGTAGCGTTCTGAGAATCTTCTTTGTGATGTTGCATTCAAGTCACAGAGTTGAACATTCCCTTTCATAGAGCAGGTTTGAAAAACTCCTTTTGTCATATCTGGAAGTGTCCATTTGGAGCTCGTTCAGGCTTGTGTTGATAAAGGATATATCTTCCCATAAAAACCAGACAGAAGCATTCTCAGAAACTTATTTGTTATGTGTGTCCTCAACTAACAGATTTGAACATTTCTTTTGAGAGAGCAATTTTGAAACACTCTTTTTGTAGAATCTGCAAATGGATATTTGGATAGCTTTGAGGATTTCGTTGGAAACGGGAATATCTTCATATAAAATCTAGACAGAAGCATTCTCAGAAACTTCCTTGTGATGGTTGCATTCAAGTCATGGAGTTGAACATTCGCTTTCATAGAGCAGGTTGGAAACACTCTTTTTCCATTCCCTGGAAGTGGACATTTGGAGCGCTTTGAGGCCTATGGTGAAAAAGGAAATGTCTTCCCATAAAAACAAGATAGAAGCATTCTCAGAAACTTATTCGTGCTGTGTGTCCTCAACTAACAGAGTAGAACCTTTCTTTTGATAGAGCAGTTTTGAAACACTCTTTTTGTAGAATCTGCAAGTGGACATTTGGATAGCTTTGAGGATTTCGTTGGAAACGGGAATATCTTCACATGAAATCTAGACAGAAGCATTCTCAGAAATTTCTTTGCGATGTTTGCATTCAAGTCACAGAGTTGAACATTCCTTTTCATAGAGCAGGCATGAAACACTCTTTTTCTACTATCTGGAAGTGGACATTTGGAGCTCTTTCAAGCCTATGGTGACAAAGTAAATATCTTCCCATAAAAACTAGACAGAAGCACTCTCAGAAACTTATTAGTGATGTGTGTCCTCACATAACAGGCTTGAACATTTCTTTTGACACAGCAGTTTTGAAGCACTCTTTTTGTGGAATCTCCAAGTGGATATTTGGCTAGCTTTGAGGATTTCGTTGGAAACGGTAATGTCTTCATAAAAAATCTAGACAGAACGTTTTTCGGAAACGACGTTCTGATGTTTGCATTCAAGTCACAGAGGTGAATATTCCCTTTCATAGAGCAGGTTTGAAACACTCTTTTTGTAGTATCTGGAAGTGGACATTTGGAGGGCTTTCAGGCCTCTGGTGAAAAAGAAAATATCTTCCCATAAGAACTATACAGAAATATTCTCAGAAACTACTTTGTGATGTGTGTACTCAACTAACAGGGTGGAACCATTCTTTTGACAGAGCAGTTTTGAGACACTCTTTTTGTAGAATCTGCAAGAGGCTGTTTGGCTACCTTTGAGGATCTCATTGGAAATGGGAATACATATAAAATTACACAGCAGCATTGTCAGAAACTTCTTTGTGATGTTTGCATTCAAGTCATAGATTTGAACATTTCCTTTCATAGAGCAAGTTTGAAACACTCTTTTGGTAGTATTTGGAAGTGGACATTTGGAGTGCTCTGAAGCCTTTGGTGAAAAAGGAAATATCTTCCATCAAAACTAGATAGAAGCAATCTCAGAAACTTATTTATGATGTATCTACTCAACTAACAGAGTTGAACCTTTCTTTTGATAGAGCAGTTTTGAAACACTGTTTTTATGGAATCTGCAAGTGGATATTTGGCTAGTTTTGAGGATATCGTTGGAAAAGGCGATACATATAAAAAGCAGATTGCAGCGGCCTGAGAATCTTCTTTGTGATGTTTGCATTCAAGTCACAGAGTTGAACATTCCCTTTCATCGAGCAGGTTTGAAACACTCCTTTTATACTATCTGGAAGTGGACATTTGGAGCGCATTCAGGCCAAAGTTGAAAACGGAAATATCTTCCCATAAAAACTAGACAGAAGCATTCTCAGAAACGTATTTGTGATGAGTACCCTCAACAAACTGAGTTGAACTTTTCTTTTGATAGAGCAGTTTTGAAACACTCATTTTGTAGAATCTGCTAGTGGATATTTGGATAGATTGAGGATTTCGTTGGAAACGGGAATACCTTCATAAAAAATCTAGACAGAAGCATTCTCAGAAACTTCCTTGTGATGTTTCCATTCAAGTCACAGAGTTGAACATTCCCCTTCATAGCAGGTTTGAAACACTCTTTTTGTAGTATCTGGAAGTGGACCTTTGGAGCGCTTTCAGGCCTATGGTGAAAAAGGGAATATCTTCCCATAAAAACTAGAGAGAAGCATTCTCAGAAATTTATTCGTGATCTGTTTCCTCAACTAACAGAGTTGAACCTTTATTTTCATAGAGCAGTTTTGAAACACTCTTTTTGCAGTGTCTGCAAGTGGATATTTGGATAGTTTGAGGATTTCGTTGGAAACGGGAATATCTTCATATAAAATCTAGACAGAAGCAATCTCAGAAACTTCCTTGTAATGTTTGCATTCAAGTCACGGAATTCAACATTCCCTTTCATACAGCAGGTTTGAAACACTCTTTTGTAGAATCAGGAAGTGGACATTTGTAGCGCTTTCAGGCCTGTGGGAAAAAGAAATATCTTCCCATAAAAACTAGACAGAAACATTCTCAGAAACTTATTTCTGATGTGTGTACTCAACTAACAGAGTTGAACCTTTGTTTTGACAGAGCAGTTTTCAAACTCTCTTTTTGTACAATCTGCAAGTGAATATTTGGCTAGGTTTGTGGATTTCGTTGGAAACGGGAATACATATAAAAAGCAGATAACAGCGTTCTGAGAATCTTCTTTGTGATGTTTGCATTCAAGTCACAGAGCTGAACACTCCCTTTCATAGAGCAGGTTTGAAACACTCCTTTTGTAGTATCTGAAAATGGACATTTGGAACGCTTTCCGACCTAAGGTGAAAAAGGAAATATCTTCCTATAAAAACTAGACAGAAGCATTCTCTGAAACTAGTTTATGATGCATCTACTCAACTAACAGAGTTGAACATTTCATTTGATAGAGCAGTTTTGAAACACTCTTTTTGTGGAATCTCCAAGTGGATATTTGGCTAGCTTTGAGGATTTCGTTGGATACGGGAATACATTTAAAAAGCAGACAGCAGCGTTCTGAGCAAATTATTTGTGATATTTTCATTCAAGTCACAGAGTTGAAAATTCCCTTTCATAGAGGAGGTTTGAAACACTCCTTTTGTAGTATCTGGAAGTGGACATTTGGAGCGCTTTCAGGCCTATGTTGAAAAAGGAAATATCTTCCCATAAAAACTAGACAGAAGCATTCTCAGAAACTTATTTGCGATGTGTGCCCTCAACTAACAGAGTTCAACATTTCTTTTGATAGAGTAGTTTTGAAACACTCCTTTTGTGTAATCTGCAACTGGATATTTGGCTGGATTTGAGGATTTCGTTGGAAACGGGAATACATATTAAAAGCAGAAAGTAGCGTTCTGAGAAAATTCTTTGTGATGTTTGCACTCAAGTCACAGAGATGAACACTCCCTTTCATAGAGCAGGTTTGAAACACTCCTTTTGTAGTATCTGGAAGTGGACATTTGGAGCGCTTTCAGGCCTATGTTGAAAAAAGAAATATCTTCCCATAAAAACTAGACAGAAGCATTCTCAGAAACTTGTTTATGATGCATCTACTCAACTAATAGAGTTGAACATTTCTTTTGATAGAGCAGTTTTGAAACACTCTTTTTATGGAATCTCCAAGTGGATATTTGGCTAGCTTTGAGGATTTCCTTGGAAATGGTAATGTATTCATGCAAAACCTATACAGAAAGATTCTCAGAAACGTCTTTGTGATGTTTGCATTCAAGTCACAGAGTTGAACATTCCCTTTCAGAGAGCAGGTTTGAAACACTCTTTTTGTTATATGTGAAAATGGACATTTGGAGCACTTTCAGGCCTAAGGTGAAAAAGGAAATATCTTCCCATAAAAACTAGACAGAAGCATTCTCAGAAATTTGTTTATGCTGTATTTACTCAACTAACAGAGTTGAACCTTTCTTTTGATAGAGCAGTTTTGAAACACTCTTTTTGTGGAATCTGCAAGGGGATATTTGGCTAGCTTTGAGAATTTCGTTGGAAACGGGAATACATATAAAAAGCAGATTGCAGCGGTCTGAGAATCTCCTTTGTGACGTTTGCATTCAAGTAACAGAGTTGAACATTCCCTTTCATAGAGCAGGCTTGAAACACTCCTTTTATAGTATCTAGAAGTGGACATTTGGAGTGCTTTCAGGCCTATGTTGAAAAAGGAAATATCTTTCCATAAAAACTAGACAGAAGCATTCTCAGAAACTTATTTTTGATGAGTACCTTCAACTAACAGAGTTGAACCTTTCTTTTGATAGAGCTGTTTTGAAACACTCTATTTGTAGAATCAGCAAGTGGATATTTGGATAGCTTTGAGGATTTCGTTGGAAACGGGAATATATGTAAAAAGCAGAAAACAGCATTCTCAGAAATTACTTTGTGATGTTTGCATTCAAGTCATAGAGTAGAAAATTCCCTTTCATAGAGCAGGTTTGAAACACTCTTTTTGTAGTATCTGGAAGTGGATATTTGGAGAGCTTTCAGGCCTGTGTTGAAAAATGAAATATTTTCCCATAAAAACTAGACAGAAGCATTCCAACAAACTAGTTTCTGATGTGTGTCCTCAACTAACAGAGTTGAACATTTCTTTTGACAGAACAGTTTTGAAACACTCTTTTTGTGGAATCTGAAAGTGGATATTTGGATAGCTTTGAGAATTTCTTTAGAAACGGGATTACATATAAAAAGCACACAGCAGAATTCTCAGAAATTTCTTTGAGAAGTTTGCATTCAAGTCACAGAGTTGAACATTCCCTTCATAGAGGAGGTATGAAATGTTCCTTCTGTAGTATCTGGAAGTGGATATATGGAGCGCTGTCAGGCCTATGGTAAAAAAGGAAATATCTTTCCATAAAAACTAGATAGAAGCATTCTCAGAAACTTATTTGTGATGTGTGCCCTCAACTAACAGAGTTGAACATTTCTTTTGAGAGAGCAGTTTTGAAACACTCTTTTTGTGGAATCTCCAAGTGGATATTTGGCTAGCTTTGAGGATTTCGTTGGAAACGGGAATGTCTTCATATAAGCTCTAGACAGAAGCATTCTCAGAAACTTCTTTGGGATATTTCAATTCAAGTCACAGAGTTGAAAATTCCCTTTCATGGAGCTGGTTTTAAACACTCTTTTGTAGTATCTGGAAGTGGACATTTGAAGCGGTTTCAGGACTACGGTGAAAAAGGAAATATCTTCCAATAAAAACTAGATAGAAGCAATGTCAGAAACTTTTTTATCATGTATCTACTCAGCTAACAGAGTTGAAGTTTTCTTTTGAGAGAGCAGTTTTGAAACACTATTTTTCTGGAATCTGCAAGTGGATACTAGGCCAGCTTTGAAGATTTCGTTGGAAAAGGGAATACATATGAAAAGCAGACAGCAGCATTCTCAGAAACTTCTTTGTGATGTTTGTATTCAAGTCACAGAGTTGAACATTCCCTTTCATAGAGCAGATTTGAAACACTCTTTTTGTAGTGTTTGGAAGTGGACATTTGGAGAGATTTCTGGCCTAAGGTGAAAAAGGAAATATCTTCCCATAAAAACTAGACAGAAGCATTCTCAGGAACTTACTCGTGATGTGTGTCCTCAACTAACAGAGTAGAACGTTTCGTTTGATAGAGCAGTTTTGAAACACTCTTTTTGTAGAATCTGCAAGTGGATATTTGGATAGCTGTGAGGATTTCGTTGGAAACGGGAATATCTTCATATAAAATCTAGACAGAAGCATTCTCAGAAACATCCTTGTGATGGTTGCATTCAAGTCACAGAGTTGAACATTCCTTTTCATAGAGCAGGTTGGAAACACTCTTTTTGTAGTATCTAGAAGTGGACATTTGGATCGCTTTCAGGCCTAGGGTGAAAAGGGGAATATCTTCCAATAAAAACTAGACAGAAGCATTCTCAGATACTTATTTGTGATGTGTGTCCTCAGCTAACACAGTTGAACCTTTCTTTTGAGAGAGCAGTTTTGAAACACTCTTTTTGTGGAATCTGCAAGTGGATATTTGGCTGCCATTGAGGATTTCGTTGGAAACGGGCATACATATAAAAAGCAGACAGCAGCTTTCTGAGAAACTTCTTTGTGATGTTTGCATTGAAGTCAAAGTGTTGAACATTCCCTTTCATAGAGCAGGTTTGAAACACTCCTTTGTCATATCTGGAAGTGTCCATTTGGAGTGAATTCAGGCTTCTTTTGAAAAAGGAAATATCTTCCCATAAAAATTAGACAGTAGCATTCTCAGAAACTTACTTGTGATGTGTTTACTCAATTAACAGAATTGAACCTTTGTTTTGACAGAGCGGTTTTGAAACACTCTTTTTGTGGAATCTGCAAGTGGATATTTGGCTAGCTTTGTGGATTTCGTTGGAAACGGGAATACATATAAAAAGCAGACAGCAGCGTTCTGAGAAACATGTTTGTGATGTTTGTATTCAAGTCACAGAGTTGATCATTCCCTTTCATAGAGCAGGTTTGAAACACTCCGTTTGCTGTATCTGGAAGTGGACACTTGGAGCGCTTTCAGGCCTATGTTGAGAAAGGTAATATCTTCCCATGAAAACTAGACAAAAGCATTCTCAGAAACTTGTTTGTGATATGTGCCCTCTACTAACAGAGTTGAACCTTTCTTTTCATAGAGCAGTTTTCAAACACTCTTTTTGTAGAATCTGCATGAGGATATTTGGCTAGCTTTGAGGATTTCGTTGGAAAAGGGAATACATATAAAAAGCAGATTGCAGCAGTCTGAGAATCTACTTTGTGACGTTTGCATTCAAGTAACAGAGTTGAACATTCCATTTCATAGAGCAGGTTTGAAACACTCCTTTTATAGTATCTAGAAGTGGACATTTGGAGTGCTTTCAGACATATGTTGAAAAAGGAAATATCTTCCCATAAAAAGTAGACAGAAGAATTCTCAGAAAGTTATTTGTGATGAGTGCCCTCAACTAACAGAGTTGAATCTTTCTTTTGATAGAGCAGTTTTGAAACACTTTTTTGCAGAATCTGCAAAAAAGCAGATATTTGGATAGCTTTGAAGATTTCGTTGGAAACGTGAATATATGTAAAAAGCAGAAAATAGAATTCTCAAAAACTTCTTTGTGATGTTTGCACTCAAGTCACAGAGTAGAACATTCCCTTTCATAGAGCAGGTTTGAAACACTTTTTCAATCATCTGGAAGTGGACATTTGTAGCGCTTTCAGGCCTATGGCGAAAAAGGAAATATCTTCCAATAAAAACTAGACAGAAGCATTCTCAGAAATTTATTTGTGATGTGTGTCCTGAACTAACAGAGTTGAGCATTTCTTTTGAGAGAGCAGTTTACAAACACTCTTTTTGTGTAATCTGCAAGTGGATATTTGGCTGGCTCTGAGGATTTCGTTGGATATGGGAATACATATAAAATCAGACAGCAGTGTTCTGAGAAACTACTTTGTGATGTTTGAATTTAAGTCACAGAATTGAACATTCCCTCTCATAGAGAAGGTATAAAACACTTCATCTGTCATATCTGGAAGTATCCATTTGGAGCGTATTCAGGCTTGTGTTGAAAAAGAAAATATCTTACCATAAAAACTAGACAGAATCATTCTCAGAAACTTATTTGTGATGGGTGTACTCAACTAACAGAATTGAACTTTGTTTTGACAGAACAGTTTTGAAAAAGTCTTTTTGTGGAATCTGCAAGTGGATATTTCGCTAGATTTGTGGAATTCGTTGGAATCGGGAATCCATATAAAAAGCAGACAACAGCGTTCTGAGAAACTTCTTTGTGATGTTTGCATTCAAGTCACAGAGTTCAACACTACCTTTCGTAGAGCAGGTTTGAAACACTCTTTTTGTAGTATCTGGAAGTGGACATTTGGAGCGCTTTCAGGGCTAAGGTGAAAAACGAAATATAGTCCCATAAAAACTAGACAGAAGCATTCTCAGAAACTTGTTTATGATGTATCTACTCAACTAACAAAGTTAAAATTTTCTATTGATAGAGCAGTTCTGAAACACTCTTTTTGTGGAATCTGCAATTGGATATTTGGCTAGCTGTGAGGATTTCTTTGGAAGCGGGAATACATATAAAATGCAGACTGCAGCGTTCTGAGAAATATCTTTGTGATATTTGTATTCAAGTCACCGAGTTGAACATTCCCCTTCATAAAGCAGGTTTGAAACACTCCTTTTGTAGTATCTGGAAGTGGACATTTGGAGCGCTTATAGGCCTATGTTGAAAAAGGAAATATCTTCCCCTAACAACTAGACAGAAGCATTCTCAGAAGCTTATTCGTGATGTGTGTCCTCAACTAACAGAGTTGAAACTTTCTTTTCATAGAGCAGTTTTGAAACACTCTTTTTGTAGAATCTACAAGTGGATATTTGGATAGATTTGAGGTTTTCGTTGGAAACGGGAGTATCTTCGTATAAAATCTAGACAGAAGCATTCTCAGAAACTTCCTTGTGATGGTTGCATTCAAGTCACAGAGTTGAACATTCCCTTTCATAGAGCAAGTTTGAAACACTCCTTTGTAGTATCTGGAAGTGGACATTTGGATCTCTTTCAGCCCTACAGGAAAACGGAAATAACTTCCCATAAAAACTAGACAGAAGCATTCTCAGAAACTTATTTGTGATGTGTGCCCTCAACTAACAGAGTTGAAGCATTCTTTTGATAGAGCAGTTTAGAAGCACTCTTTTTGTAGAATCTGCAAGTGGATATTTGGATAGATTTGAGGATTTCGTAGGAAACGGGAATATCTTCATATAAAATCTATACAGAAGCATTCTCAGAAACATCTTTGTGATGTTTGCATTCAAGTCACAGAGTTGAACATTCTTTTTCATAGAGAAGGTTTGAAACACTTTTTCTACCATCTGGAAGTGGACATTTGGAGTGCTTTCAGGCCTATGGTGAAAAAGGAAATATCCTCCAATAAAAATCAGACAGAAGCTTTCTCAGAAACTTATTTGTGATGTGTGTCCTCAACTAACAGAGTTGAATATTTCTTTTGAGAGAGCAGTTTTGAAACTCTCTTTTTGTGGAATCTGCAAGTGGATATTTGGCTAGCTTTGTGGATTTCGTTGGAAACGGGAATACATATAAAAAGCAGACAGCAGCGTTCTGAGAAACACTTTTGTGATATTTGTATTCAAGTCACAGAGTTGAACACTCCCTTTCATAGAGCAGGTTTGAAACACTCCTCTTGTAGTATCTGGAAGTGGACAATTGGAGCGCTTTCAAGGCTAAGGTGAAAAAGGAAATATCTTTCCATAAAAAATACACAGAAGTATTCTCAGAAACTTGTTTATGATATATATACTCTAGTAACAAAGTTGAACCTTTCTTTTGATAGAGCAGTTTTGAAACACTCTTTTTGTAGAATCTGCAAGTGGATATTTGGAGAATTTTGAGGATTTCGTTGGAAACGGGAATATATATAAAAAGCAGAAAACAGCATTCTCAGAAACTTCTTTGTGATTTTTGCATTCAAGTCACAGAGTAGAACATTCCCTTTCATAGAGCAGGTTTGAAACAGTCTTTTTGTAGTATCTGGATGTGGACATTTGGAGCGCTTTCAGGTCCAGGGTGCAAGAGGAAATATCTTCCCATAAAAACTAGACAGAAGCGTTCTCAGAAACTTATTTGTGATGTGTGCCCTCAACTAACAGAGCAGAAACTTTCTTTTGATAGAGCAGTTTTGAAACATTCTTCTTGTAAAATCTGCAAGACGATATTTGGATAGCTTTGAGAATTTCGTTTGAAACGGGAATGTCTTCATATAAACTCTAGACAGAAGCATTCTCAGAAACTTCTTTGGGATGTTTCAATTCAAGTCACAGAGTTCAACATTCCCTTTCATAGAGCAGGTTTGAAACACTCTTTTTACATGATCTGGAAGAGGATATTTGGAGAGCTTTCAGGCGTATAGTGAAAAAGGAAATATCTTCCAATATAAAGTAGATAGAAGCAATGTCAGAAACTTTTTTATGATGTGTCTACTCAGCTAACAGAGCTGAACATTTCTTTTGATAGAGCAGTTTTGAAACACTCTTTTTGTGGAATCTGCAAGTGGAAATTCGGACAGTTTGAGGATTTCGTTGGTAACGGGAATACATATAAAAACCAGACAAAAGCATTCTCAGAAACTTATTTGTGATGTGTGTCCTCAACTAACAGTGTTGAACATTTCTTTTGAGACAGCAGTCTTAAAACAATTTTCTTGTGGAATCTGCAAGTGGATATATGGCTCGCTTTGAGGATTTCGCTGGAAATGGGAATACATATAAAAAGCAGACAGCTGCGTTTTCAGAAACTTCTTTGTGATGTTTGCATTCAAGTCACAGAGTTGAAAATTCCCTTTCATAGCGCAGGTTTGAAACACTCCTTTTGTCATATCTGGAAGTGTCCATTTGAAGCGCATTCAGGCTTGTGTTGAAAAAGGAAATATCTTCCTGTAAATATTAGACAGAAGCATTCTCAGAAATTTATTTGTGATGTGTGTACTCAACTAACAGAATTGAATCTTTGTTTTGATGGAGCAGATTTGAAACACTCTTTTTTTGGAATCTGCAATAGGATATTTGGCTAGCATTGTGGATATCGTTGGAAACGCGAATATACATAAAAAGCAGACAGCAGCATTCTGAGAACCTTCTTTGTGATGTTTGCATTCACGTCTCAGAGTTGAACACTCCTTTTCATAGAGGAGGATTGAAACACTCCTTTTGTAGTATCTGGACGTGGACATTTGGAGCGCTTTCAGGGCTAAGGTGAAAAAGGTAATATCTTCCCATAAAAACTAGACAGAAGCATTCTCAGAAACTTGTTTATGATGTATTCACTCAACTAACAAAGGTGAACCTTTGTTTTGATAGAGCAGTTTTGAAACACTGTTTTTCTACAATCTGCAGTTGGATATTTGGCTAGCTTTGAGGATTTCGTTGGAAGGGGGAATACATGTAAAATGCAGACTGCAGCGTTCTGAGAAACACCTTTGTGATGTTTGTATTCAAGTCACACAGTTGAACATTCCCTTTCATAGAGCAGGATTGAAACACTCGTTTTGTAGTATCTGGAAGTGGACATTTGGAGCGCTTTCAGGCCTATTTTGAAAAGAGGAATATCTTCCCATAAAAACGAGACGGAAGCATTCTCAGAAACTTGTTTGTGATGTGTGCCCTCTACTAACAGAGTTGAACGTTTCTTTTGATAGAGCAGTTTTGAAACACTCTTTTTGTAGAATCTGCAAGAAGATATTTGGATAGCTTTGTGAATTTCTTTGGAAACGGGAATATCTTCATATAAAATCTAGATAGAAGCATTCTCAGAAACTTCTTTGGGATGTTTGCATTCAAGTCACAGAGTTGAACATTCCCTTACATAGAGCAGGTTTGAAACACTCTTTTTGTAGTACCTGGATGTGGACATTTGGAGCGCTTTCAGGCCTACGGTGAAAAAGGAAATATCTTCCAATAAAAACTAGATAGAAGCAATGTCAGAAACTATTTTTTGATGTGTCTACTCAGCTAACAGAGTTGAACCTTTCTTTTGAGAGAGCAGTTTTGAAACACTCTTTTTGTGGAATCTGCAAGTGGACATTAGGTCAGCTTTGAGTATTTCGTTGGAAACGGGAATACATATAAAAAGCAGACAAAAGCATTCTCAGAAACTTATTTGTGATGAGTGCCCTCAACAAACAGTGATAAACCTTTCTTTTGATAGAGCAGTTTTGAAACATTCTTTTTGTATAATCTGCAAGTGGATATTTGGATAGTTTTGAGGATTTCGTTGGAAACGGGAATATATGTAAAAAGCAGAAAACAGCATTATCAGAAACTTCTTTGTGATGTTTGCATTCAAGTCACAGAGTAGAACATTCCCTTTCATAGAGCATGTTTGAAACACTCCTTTTGTCGTATCTGGAAGTGTCCATTTGGAGCGCATTCTGGCTTGTGTTGAAAAAGGAACTATCTTCCCATAAAAACTAGACAGAAGCATTCTTTGAAGCTTATTTGTGATGTGTGTATTCAACTAACGGAATTGAACCTTTGTTTTGACGGGCAGTTTTGAAACGCTCTTTTTGTGGAATCTGCAAGTGGATATTTGGCTAGCTTTGGGGAATTCTTTGGAAACGGGAATACATATAAAAAGCAGACAGCAGCGTTCTGAGAAACTTCTTTGTGATGTTTGCATTCAAGTCACAGAGTTGAACACTCCCTTTCATAGAGCAGGTTTGAAACACTCCTTTTGTGGTATCTGGAAGTGGACATTTGGAGTGATTTCAGGGCTGAGGTGAAAAAGGTAATATCTTCCCATAAAAACTAGACAGAAGCATTCTCAGAAGCTTATTCGTGATGTGTGTCCTAAACTAACAGAGGTGAAACTTTCTTTTCATAGAGCAGTTTTGAAACACTCTTTTTGAAGAAGATGCAAGTGGATATTTGGATAGCTTTGAGGATTTCGTTGGAAACGGGAATATCTTCATGTAAAATCTAGACAGAAGCATTCTCAGAAACTTCCTTGTGATGGTTGCATGCAAGTCACAGAGTTGAACATTCCATTTCATAGAGCAGGTCTGAAACACTCCTTTGTAGTATCTAGAAGTGGACATTTGGATCGCTTTTAGGCCTACGGGAAAAAGGAAATATCTTCCCATAAAAACTAGACAGAAGCATTCTCAGAAACTTTTTTGTGATGTGTACCCTCAACTAACAGAGTTGAACCTTTCTTTTGCTAGAGCAGTTTTGAAACACTCTTTTTGTAGAATCTGCAAGTGGATATTTGCATAGATTTGAGGATTTCGTAGGAAACGGGAATATCATCATATAAAATCTAGACAGAAGAATGTTCAGAAACTTCTTTGTGATATTTGCATTCAAGTCACAGAGTTGAACATTCCTCTTAATAGAGCACGCTTGAAACACTCTTTTTCTACTATCTGGATGTGGACATTTGGAGCGCTTTCAGGCATATGGTGAAAAAGGAAATATCTTCCCATAAAAGCTAGACAGAAGCATTCTCAGAAACTTATTTGTGATGTGTGTCTTCAACTAACACAGTTGAAAATTTCTTTTGTGATAGCAGTTTTGAAACAGTCTTTTGTGGAATCTGCAACTGGATATTTGTCTAGCTTTTAGGATTTCGATGAAAACGGGAATACATATAAAAAGCAGATTGCAGCGGTCAGAGAATCTCCTTTGTGACGTTTGCATTCAAGTAACAGAGTTGAACATTCCCTTTCTTAGAGTAGGCTTGAAACACTCCGTTTATAGTATCTAGAAGTGGACATTTGGAGTGCTTTCAGGCCTTTGTGAAAAAGGAAATATCTTCCCATAAAGACTAGACAGAAGCATTGTCATAAACTTATTTGTGATGAGTGCCCTCAACTAACCAAGTTGAACCTTTCTTTCGATAGAGCAGTTTTGAAACACTCTTTTTGTAGAATCTGCAATGGATATTTTGATAGCTTTGAGGATTTTGTTGGAAAGGGGAATATACGTAAAAAGCAGAAAACAGCATTCTCAGAAACATTTTTGTGATGTTTGCATTCAAGTCACAGAGTAGAACATTCCCTTTCATAGAGCAGGTTTGAAACACTCTTTTTGTAGTATCTGGAAGTGGACGTTCGGAGAGCTTTCAGGCCTATGTTGAAAAAGGAAATATCTTCCCATAAAAACTAGAAAAAAGCATTCTCAGAAACTTGTTTGTGATGTGTTCCCTCTACTAACAGAGTTGAACCTGTCTTTTCATAGAGCAGTTTTTACACCCTCTTTTTGTAGAATCTGCAAGAAGATATTTGGATAGGTTTGAAGATTTCGTTGGAAACGGGAATGTCTTGATAGAAAATCTAGACAGAAGCATTCTCAGAAACTTCTTAGGGATGTTTGCATTCAAGTAACAGAGATGAACATTCCCTTACATAGAGCAGGTTTGAAACACTCTTTTTATAGTATCTGGAAGTGGATATTTGGAGCGCTTCAAGCCTATGTTGAAAAAGGAAATATCTTCCAATAAAAACTAGATAGAAGCAATGTCAGAAACTTTTCTATGATGTGTCTTCTCAGTTAACAGAGTTGAACCTACCTTTTTAGAGAGCAGCTTCAAAACTCTCTTTTTGTGGAATCTGCAAGTAGATATTTGGCTAGGTTTGTGGATTTCGTTGGAAACGGGAATACATATAAAAAGCAGACAGCAGCATTCTCAGAAACTTCTTTGTGATGTTTGCATTCAAGTCACAGAGTTGAACATTCCCTTTCATAAAGCAGGTTTGAAACACTCCTTTTGTCATATCTGGAAGTGTCCATTTGGAGCGCATTCAGGCTTGTGTTGAAAAAGGAAATATCTTTCCATAAAAAATAAACAGAAGCATTCTCAGAAACTTTATGTGTGCCCTCTAACAGAGTTGAACCTTTCTTTTCATGGAGCAGTTTTGCTACGCTCTTTCTGTAGAATCTGCAAGAGGATATTTGGATAGCTTTGAGGATTTCGTTGGAAACGGCATTGTCTTCAGATAATATAAAATCTAGACAAATATAAAATCTAGACAAAAGCATTCTCAGAAACTTCTTTGGGAGGTTTCAATTCAAGTCACAGAGTTGAACATTACCATTCATAGAGCAGGTTTGAAACACTCTTTTGGTAGTATCTGGAAGTGGACATTGGGAGCGCTTTCAGGACTACGGTGAAAAAGGAAATATCTTCCAATAAGAACTAGACAGAAGCAATGTCAGAAACTTTTTTTTGATGTATCTACTCATCTAACAGAGTTGAACATTTCTTCTGAGAGAGCAGTTTTGAAACACTCTTTTTGTGGAATCTGCAAGTGGATATTATGCCAGCTTAGAGGATTTCGTTGGAAACGGGAATACATATAAAAGGCAGACAGCAGCATTCTCAGAAACTTCTTTGTGATGTTTGCATTCAAGTCACAGAGTTGAACATTCCCTTTCACAGAGCAGGTTTGAAACACTCTTTTGCTAGGGTCTGGAAGTGGACATTTGGAGCGCTTTCAGGCCTATGGTGAAAAGGAAATATCTTCCAATAAAAACTAGACAGAAGCATTCTCAGAAACTTATTTGTGATGTGTGTCCTCAACTAACAGAGGTGAACATTTCTTTTGAGAGAGCAGTTTTGAAACACTCTTTTTGTAGAATCTGCAAGTGGATATTTGGATAGCTTTGAGGATTTTGTTGGAAACGGGAATATCTTCATATAAAATCCAGACGGAAGCATTCTCAGAAACTTCCTTGTGATGGTTGCATTCAAGTCACAGAGTTGAACATTCGCTTTCATAGAGCAGGTTTGAAACACACTGTAGAAACTGCAAGTGGACATTTGGAGCGCTTTGAGGCCTATGGTGAAAAAGGAAATATCTTCCCATAAAAACTAGACAGAAGCATTCTCAGAAACTTCTTTGGGATGTTTCAATTGAAGTCGCAGTGTTAAACATTCCCTTTCATAGAGCAGGTTTGAAACACTATTTTGTAGTATCTGGAAGTGGACATTTGGAGCGCTTTCAGGACTACGGAGAAAAAGGAAATATCTTCCAATAAAAACTAGATAGAAGCAATGTCAGAAACTTTTTTATGATGTATCTACTCAGCTAACAGAGTTGAACCTTTCTTTTGAGAGAGCAGAATTGAAACACTCTTTTTGTGGAATATGCAAGTGGATATTAGGGCAGCTTGGAGGATTTCGTTGAAACGGGAATACATATTAAAAGCAGACAGCAGCATTCTCAGAATCTTCTCTGTGATGTTTGCATTCAAGTCACAGAGTTGAACATTCCCTTTCACAGAGCATGTTTGAAACACTCTTTATCCATTATCTGGAAGTGGACATTTGTAGCGTTTTCAGGCCTATGGTGAAAAAGGCAATACCTTCCCATAAAAACTAGACAGAAGCATTCTCAGA
>NC_000020.11:26382616-26386232 GCF_000001405.40 Homo sapiens
TGTCCTCACCTAACAGAGTAGAACCTTTCTTTTGATAGAACAGTTTTGAAACACTCTTTTTGTAGAATCTGCAAGTGGATATTTGGATAGCTTTGAGGATTTCGTTGGAAACGGGAATATCTTCGTATAAAATCTAGACAGAAGCATTCTCAGAAACTTCCTTGTGATGGTTGCATTCAAGTCACAAGAGTTGAACATTCGCTTTCATAGAGCAGGTTGGAAACAATCTTTTTCCATTATCTTGAAGTGGACATTTGGAGTGCTTTGCGGCCTATGGTAAAAAAGGAAATATCTTCCCATAAAAACTAGACAGAAGCATTCTCGGAAACTTTTTGTGATGTGTATCCTCAACTAACAGAGTGGAATATTTCTTTTGAGACAGCATTTATGAAACACTGTTTTTGTGGAACCTGCAATGGGATATTTGGCTGGTTTTGAGGATTTCGTTGGAAACGCGAATACATATAAAAAGCAGACAGCAACGTTCTGAGAAACTTCTTGGTGATGTTTGCATTCAAGTCACAGAGTTGTACATTCCCTTTCATAGAACAGGTTTGAAACACTCCTTTTGTCATATCTGGAAGTGTTCATGAGGAGCGCATTCAGGCTTGTGTTGAAAAAGGGAATATCTTCCCATAAAAACTAGACAGAAGCATTCTCAGCAACTTGTTTGTGATGTGTGCCCTCTACTAACAGAGTTGAACCTTTCTTTTCATAGAGCAGTTTTGAAACACTCCTTTTGTACAATCTGCAGGAGGATTTTTGCATAGCTTTGAGGATTTCGATGGTAACGGAATTGTCTTCAGATTAAATCTAGACAGAAGCATTCTCAGAAACTTATGTGGGATGTTTGCATTCAAGTCATGGAGGAGAACATTCCCTTTCGTAGAGGAGGTTTGAAACATTCCTTTGTAGTATCTGGAAGTGGAAATTTGGAGTGGTCTCAGGCCTATGTTGAAAAAAGAAATATCTTCCTGCAAAAACTGCACAGAAGCATTCTCAGAAGCTAGTCTCTGATGTGTGTCCTCAACTAAGAGAGTTGAACATTTCTTTACACAGAACAGTTTTGAAACACTCTTTTTGTGGAGTCTTCAAGTGAATATTTGGCTAGATTTCAGGATTTCATTGGAAACGGGATTACGTACAAAAAGACGACAGCAGCATTCTCAGAAACTTCTTTGTGATGTTTGCATTCAAGTCACAGAATTGAACATTCCCTTTCACAGAGCAGGTTTGAAACACTCTTTTCGTAGTGCCTGTAAGTGGACCTTTGGAGCAGTTTCCGGCCTAAGGTGAAAAAGGACATATCTTCCCATACAACCTAGACAGAAGCATTCTCAGAAACTTACTCGTGATGTGTGTCCTCAATTAACGGAGTCGAACCTTTCTTTTGATAGAGCAGTTTTGAAACACTCCTTTTGTAGAATCTGCAAGTGGATATTTGGATAGCTTTGAGGATTTCGTTGGAAACGGGAATATCTTCCTATAAAATCTAGACAGAAGCATTCTCAGAAACTTCCTTGTGATGGTTGCTTTCAAGTCACGGAGTTGAACATTCGCTTTCATAGAGCAGGTTGGAAACACTCTTTTTCCATTCCCTGAAAGTGGACGTTTGGAGCGCTTTGAGGCCTAAGGTGGAAAAGGAAATATCTTCCCATAAAACCTAGACAGAAGCATTCTCAGAAACTTATTTGTGATGTGTGTCCTCAAATGACAGAGTTGAACATTTGTTTTGAGAGAGCAGTTTTGAAACACTCTTTTTATGGAATCTGCAAGCGGATATATGGCTGGCTTTGACGATTTAGTTGGAAACGGGAATACATATAAAAAATAGACAGCAGCGTTCTGAGAAACTTCTTGGTGATGTTTGCATTCAAGTCACAGAATGGAACGTTCTCTTTCATAGAACAGGTTTGAAAAACTCCTTTTGTCGTATGTGGAAGTGTTCCTTTGGAGTGCATTCAGGCTTGTGTTGAAAAAGGAAATATCTTCCCATAAAAACTAGACAGAGGCATTCTCAGCAACTTGTTTGTGATGTGTGTCCTCAACCAACGGAGTAGAATCTTTCTTTTGATAGAGCAGTTTTGAAACACTCTTTTTGTAGAATCTGCAAGTGGATATTTGGATAGCTTTGAGGATTTCGTTGGAAACGGGAATATCTTCATATAAAATCTAGACAGAAGCATTCTCAGAAACTTCCTTGTGATGGTTGCATTCAAGTCACGGAGTTGAACATTTGCTTTCATAGAGCAGGTTGACAACACTCTTTTTGCATTCCCTGGAAGTGGACATTTGGAGCGCTTTGAGGCCTATGGTGAAAAAGGAAATATCTTCCCATAAAAACTAGACAGAAGCATTCTCAGAAACTTTTTTGTGATGTGTATCCTCAACTGACAGAGTTGAACATTTCTTTTGAGGGAGCAGAATTGAAACACTACTTTTGTGGAATCTGCAAGTGGATATTTGGCTGGCTTTGACGATTTCGTTGGAAACGGAAATACATATAAAAAGCAGACAGCAGCGTTCTGAGAAACTTCTTGGTGATGTTTGCATTCAAGTCACGGAATGGAACGTTCCCTTTCATAGAACAGGTTTGAAACACTCCTTTTGTCGTATCTGGAAGTGTCCATTTGGAGCGCATTAAGGCTTGTGTTGAAAAAGGAAATATCTTCCTATAAAATACAGACAAAAGCATTCTCAGCAACTTGTTTGTGATGTGTGCCCTCTACAAACAGATTTGAAATTTTCTTTTCATAGAGCAGTTTTGAAACACTCTTTTTGTAGAATCTGCAGGAGGATATTTGCATAAATTTGAGGATTTCGTTGGAAACGGGATTGTCTTCAGATAAAATCCAGACAGGAGCATTCTCAGAAACTTCTTTGGGATGTTTGCATTCAAGTCACAGAGGAGAACATGCCCTTTCGTAGAGAAGGTTTGAAACACTGTTTTTGTAGTATCTGGAAGTGGACTTTTGGAGCGGTTTCAGGCCTATGTTGAAAAAGGAAATATCTTCCCGTAACAACTGGACAGAAGCATACTCAGAAGCTAGTCTCTCATGTGTGTCCTCAACTAATAGAGTTGAACATTTCTTTAGACAGAAGAGTTTTGAAATACTCTTTTTGGGGAGTCTGAAAGTGGATATTTGGCTAGATTTGAGGATTTCGTTGGAAACGGGATTACGAATAAAAAGCCGACAGCAGCATTCTCAGAAACTTCTTTGTGATGTTTGCATAAAAGTCACAGAATTGAACATTCCCTTTCACAGAGCAGGTTTGAAACACTCTTTTTGTAGTGTCTGTAAGTGGACTTTTGGAGTGCTTTCCGGCCGAATGTGAAAAAGGACATATCTTCCCATAAAAATTAGACAGAAGCATTCTCAGCAACTTGTTTGTGATGTGTGTCCTCAACCAACAGAGTAGAACCTTTCTTTTGATAGAGCAGTTTTGAAACACTCTTTTTGTAGAATCTGCAAGTGGATATTTGGATAGCTTTGAGGATTTCGTTGGAAACGGGAATATCTTCATATAAAATCTAGATAGAAGCATTCTCAGAAACTTCCTTGTGATGGTTGCATTCAAGTCACGGAGTTGAACATTCACTTTCATAGAGCAGGTT
>NC_000020.11:26436232-26442898 GCF_000001405.40 Homo sapiens
AGCATTCTCAGAAACTTCTTTGTGATGTGTGTCCTCAACTGACAGAGTTGAACATGTCTTTTGAGAGAGCAGTTCTGAAACACTCTTTCTGTGGAACCTGCAAGTGGATATTTGGCTGGCTTTGACGATTTCGTTGGAAACGGGAATACATATAAAAAGCAGACAGCAGCGTTCTGAGAAACTACTTGGTGATGTTTGCATCCAAGTCACAGAATGGAACGTTCCCTTTCACAGAACAGGTTTGAAACACTCCTTTTGTCGTATCTGGAAGTGTCCATTTGGAGCGCATTCAGGCTTGTGTTGGAAAAGGAAATATCTTCCCATAAAAATCAGACAGAAGCCTTCTCGGCAACTTGTTTGTGATGTGTGCCCTCTACTAACAGAGTCGAACCTTTCTATTCATAGAGCAGTTTTGAAACACACTTTTTGTAGAATCTGCAGGAGCATATTTGCATATCTTTGAGGATTTCGTTGGAAACGGGATTGTCTTCAGATAAAATCCAGACAGAAGCATTCTCAGAAACTTCCTTGGGATGTTTGCATACAAGTCACAGAGGAGAACATGCCCTTTCGTAGAGAAGGTTTGAAACACTCTCTTTGCAGTATCTGGAAGTGGACATTTGGAGCAGTTTCAGGCCTATGCTGAAAAAGGAAATATCTTCCCTTAACAACTGGACAGAAGCATTCTCAGAAACTAGTTTCTGATGTGTGTCCTCAACTAACACAGTTGAACATTTCTTTTGACAGAACAGTTTTGAAACACTCTTTTTGTGGATTCTGCAAGTGGATATTTGGCTAGAGTTGCGGATTTCGTTGGAAACGGGATTACATATAAAAAGCAGACAGCAGCATTCTCAGCAATTTCTTTGTGATGTTTGCATTCAAGTCACAGAATTGAACATTCCCTTTCACAAAGCAGGTTTGAAACACTCTTTTTGTAGTGTCTGTAACTGGACTTTTGGAGCGCTTTCCGGCCTAAGGTGAAAAAGGACATATCTTCCCATAAAAACTAGACAGAAGCATTCTCAGAAACTTACTCGTGATGTGTGTCCTCAACTAACGGGGTAGAACCTTTCTTTTGATTGAGCAGTTTTGAAACACTCTTTTTGTAGAATCTGCAAGTGGATATTTGGATAGCTTTGAGGATTTCATTGGAAACGGGAATATCTTCATATAAAATCTAGACAGAAGCATTCTCAGAAACTTCCTTGTGATGGTTGCATTCAAGTCACGGAGTTGAACATTGGCTTTCATAGAGCAGGTTGGAAACACTCTTTTTCCATTCCCTGGAAGTGGACATTTGGAGCGCTTTGAGGCCTTTGGTGAAAAAGGAAATATCTTCCCATAAAAACTAGACAGAAGCATTCTCAGAAACTTCTTTGTGATGTGTGTCCTCAACTGACAGAGTTGAACATGTCTTTTGAGAGAGCAGTTCTGAAACACTCTTTCTGTGGAACCTGCAAGTGGATATTTGGCTGGCTTTGACGATTTCGTTGGAAACGGGAATACATATAAAAAGCAGACAGCAGCGTTCTGAGAAACTTCTTGGTGATGTTTGCATTCAAGTCACAGAATTGAACATTCCCTTTGATGGAACAGGTTTGAAACACTCCTTTTCTCATATCTGGAAGTGTCCATTCGGAGCGCATTCAGGCTTGTGTTGAAAAAGGATATATCTTCCCATAACAACTAGACAGAAGCCTTCTCGGCAACTTGTTTGTGATGTGTGCCCTCTACTAACAGAGTCGAACCTTTCTATTCATAGAGCAGTTTTGAAACACTCTTTTTGTAGAATCTGCAGGAGCATATTTGCATATCTTTGAGGATTTCGTTGGAAACGGGATTGTCTTCAGATAAAATCCAGACAGAAGCATTCTCAGAAACTTCTTTGGGATGTTTGCATTGACGTCACTGAGGAGAACATGCCCTTTCGTAGAGAAGGTTTGAAACACTCTCTTTGCAGTATCTGGAAGTGGACATTTGAAGCGGTTTCAGGCCTATGTTGAAAAAGGAAATATCTTCCCGTAACAACTGGACAGAAGCATTCTCAGAAGCTAGTCTCTGATGTGTGTCCTCAACTAACAGAGTTGAACATTTCTTTGGAGAGTATAGTTTTGAAACACTCTTTTTGTGGAGTCTGCAAGTGGATATTTGGCTGGATTTGAGGATTTCGTTGGAAACGGGATAAGGTATAAAAAGCAGACAGCAGCATTCTCAGCAACTTCTTTGTGATCTTTGCATTCAAGTTACAGAATTGAACATTCCCTTTCACAGAGCAGGTTTGAAACACTCTTTTTGTAGTGTCTGTAACTGGACTTTTGGAGCGCTTTCCGGCCTAAGGTGAAAAAGGACATATCTTCCCATAAAAACTAGACAGAAGCATTCTCAGAAACTTACTCGTGATGTGTGTCCTCAATTAACGGAGTCGAACCTTTCTTTTGATAGAGCAGTTTTGAAACACTCCTTTTGTAGAATCTGCAAGTGGATATTTTGATAGCTTTGAGGATTTCGTTGGAAACGGGAATATCTTCCTATAAAATCTAGACAGAAGAATTCTCAGAAACTTCCTTGTGATGGTTGCATTCAATTCACAGAGTTGAGCATTCGCTTTCATAGAGCAGGTGGGAAATACTCTTTTTCCATTCTCTGGAAGTGGACATTTGGAGCGCTTCGAGGCCTATGGTGAAAAAGGAAACATCTTCCCATCAAAACTAGACATTAGCATTCTCAGAAACTTATTTGTGATGTGTGTCCTCAACTGACAGAGTTGAACATTTCTTTTGAGAGGGCAGTTTTGAAACACTCTTTTTGTGGAATCTGCAAGTGGATATTTGGCTGGCTTTGACGATTTCCTTGGAAACGGGAATACATATAAAAAGCAGACAGCAGCGTTATGAGAAACTACTTGTTGATGTTTGCATTCAAGTCACAGAATGGAACGTTCCCTTTCATAGAACAGGTTTGAAACACTCCTTTTGTCGTATCTGGAAGTGTCCATTTGGATCGCATTCAGGCTTGTGTTGAAAAAGGAAATATCTTCCCATAAAAACTAGACAGAAGCCTTCTCGGCAACTTGTTTGTGATGTGTGCCCTCTACTAACAGAGTCGAACCTTTCTATTCATAGAGCAGTTTTGAAACACTCTTTTTGTAGAATCTGCAGGAGCATATTTGCATATCTTTGAGGATTTCGTTGGAAACGGGATTGTCTTCAGATAAAATCCAGACAGAAGCATTCTCAGAAACTTCTTTGGGATGTTTGCATTGACGTCACTGAGGAGAACATGCCCTTTCGTACAGAAGGTTTGAAACACTCTCTTTGCAGTATCTGGAAGTGGACATTTGAAGCGGTTTCAGGCCTATGTTGAAAAAGGAAATATCTTCCCGTAACAACTGGACAGAAGCATTCTCAGAAGCTAGTCTCTGATGTGTGTCCTCAACTAACAGAGTTGAACATTTCTTTGGAGAGTATAGTTTTGAAACACTCTTTTTGTGGAGTCTGCAAGTGGATATTTGGCTGGATTTGAGGATTTCGTTGGAAACGGGATAAGGTATAAAAAGCAGACAGCAGCATTCTCAGCAATTTCTTTGTGATGTTTGCATTCAAGTCACAGAATTGAACATTCCCTTTCACAGAGCAGGTTTGAAACACTCTTTTTGTAGTGTCTGTAACTGGACTTTTGGAGCGCTTTCCGGCCTAAGGTGAAAAAGGACATATCTTCCCATAAAAACTACACAGAAGCATTCTCAGAAACTTGCTCGTGATGTGTGTCCTCAACTGACGGAGTAGAACCTTTCTTTTGATAGAGCAGTTTTGAAACACTCTTTTTGTAGAATCTGCAAGTGGATATTTGGATACATTTGAGGATTTCGTTGGAAACGGGAAGATCTTCATATAAAATCAAGACAGAAGCATTCTCAGAAACTTCCTTGTGATGGTTGCATTCAAGTCACGGAGTTGAACATTGGCATTCATAGAGCAGGTTGGAAACACTCTTTTTCCATTCCCTGGAAGTGGACATTTGGAGCGCTTTGAGGCCTATGGTGAAAAAGGAAATATCTTCCCATAAAAACTAGACAGAAGCATTCTCAGAAACTTCTTTGTGATGTGTGTCCTCAACTGACAGAGTTGAACATGTCTTTTGAGAAAGCAGTTTTGAAACAATCTTTCTGTGGAACCTGCAAGTGGATATTTGGCTGGCTTTGACGATTTCGTTGGAAACGGGAATACATATAAAAAGCAGACAGCAGCGTTCTGAGAAACTACTTGGTGATGTTTGCATTCAAGTCACAGAATGGAACGTTCCCTTTCACAGAACAGGTTTGAAACACTCCTTTTGTCGTATCTCGAAGTGTCCATTTGGAGCGCATTCAGGCTTGTGTTGGAAAAGGAAATATCTTCCCATAAAAATCAGACAGAAGCCTTCTCGGCAACTTGTTTGTGATGTGTGCCCTCTACTAACAGAGTCGAACCTTTCTATTCATAGAGCAGTTTTGAAACACTCCTTTTGTAGAATCTGAAGGAGCATATTTGCATATCTTTGAGGATTTCTTTGGAAACGGGATTGTCTTCAGATAAAATCCAGACAGAAGCATTCTCAGAAACTTCTTTGGGATGTTTGCATTGACGTCACAGAGGAGAACATGCCCTTTCGTAGAGAAGGTTTGAAACACTCTCTTTGCAGTATCTGGAAGTGGACATTTGAAGTGGTTTCAGGCCTATGTTGAAAAAGGAAATATCTTCCCGTAACAACTGGACAGAAGCATTCTCAGAAGCTAGTCTCTGATGTGTGTCCTCAACTAACAGAGTTGAACATTTCTTTTGACAGTACAGTTTTGAAACACTCTTTTTGTGGAGTCTGCAAGTGGATATTTGGCTGGATTTGAGGATTTCGTTGGAAACGGGATAAGGTATAAAAAGCAGACAGCAGCATTCTCAGCAACTTCTTTGTGATGTTTGCATTCAAGTCACAGAATTGAACATTCCCTTTCACAGAGCAGGTTTGAAACACTCTTTTTGTAGTGTCTGTAACTGGACTTTTGGAGCGCTTTCCGGCCTAAGGTGAAAAAGGACATATCTTCCCATAAAAACTAGACAGAAGCATTGTCAGAAACTTACTCGTGATGTGTGTCCCCAACTGACGGAGTAGAACCTTTCTTTTGATAGAGCAGTTTTGAAACACTCTTTTTGTAGAATCTCCAAGTGGATATTTGGATAGCTTTGAGGATTTCGTTGGAAACGGGAATATCTTCATATAAAACCTAGACAGAAGCATTCTCAGAAACTTCCTTGTGATGGTTGCATTCAAGTCACGGAGTTGAACATTCGCTTTCATAGAGCAGGTTGGAAACACTCTTTTTCCATTCCCTGGAAGTGGACATGTGGAGCGCTTTGAGGCCTATGGTGAAAAAGGAAATATCTTCCCATAAAAACTAGACAGAAGCATTCTCAGAAACTTATTTGTGATGTGTGTCCTCAACTGACAGAGTTGAACATGTCTTTTGAGAGAGCAGTTTTGAAACACTCTTTCTGTGGAACCTGCAAGTGGATATTTGGCTGGCTTTGACGATTTCGTTGGAAACGGGAATACATATTAAAAGCAGACAGCAGCGTTCTGAGAAACTACTTGGTGATGTTTGCATTCAAGTCACAGAATGGAACGTTCCCTTTCACAGAACAGGTTTGAAACACTCCTTTTGTCGTATCTGGAAGTGTCCATTTGGAGCGCATTCAGGCCTGTGTTGGAAAAGGAAATATCTTCCCATAAAAACCAGACAGAAGCCTTCTCGGCAACTTGTTTGTGATGTGTGCCCTCTACTAACAGAGTCGAACCTTTCTATTCATAGAGCAGTTTTGAAACACTCTTTTTGTAGAATCTGCAGGAGCATATTTGCATAGCTTTGAGGATTTCGTTGGAAACGGGATTGTCTTCAGATAAAATCCAGACAGAAGCATTCTCAGAAACTTCTTTGGGATGTTTGCATTGACGTCACTGAGGAGAACATGCCCTTTCGTAGAGAAGGTTTGAAACACTCTCTTTGCAGTATCTGGAAGTGGACATTTGAAGCGGTTTCAGGCCTATGTTGAAAAAGGAAATATCTTCCCGTAACAACTGGACAGAAGCATTCTCAGAAGCTAGTCTCTGATGTGTGTCCTCAACTAACAGAGTTGAACATTTCTTTGGAGAGTATAGTTTTGAAACACTCTTTTTGTGGAGTCTGCAAGTGGATATGTGGCTGGATTTGAGGATTTCGTTGGAAACGGGATAAGGTATAAAAAGCAGACAGCAGCATTCTCAGCAATTTCTTTGTGATGTTTGCATTCAAGTCACAGAATTGAACATTCCCTTTCACAGAGCAGGTTTGAAACACTCTTTTTGTAGTGTCTGTAACTGGACTTTTGGAGCGCTTTCCGGCCTAAGGTGAAAAAGGACATATCTTCCCATAAAAACTACACAGACTGGGCGCAGTGGCTCAATCCTGTAATCCCAGCACTTTGGGAGGCCGCTGCGAGCGCTTTCAGCCCTGCAGGGCTCAAGCAACATGTACCCCTTCTCGACGAACTTGGAAGAAGAGCTGCGATTATACTAGCTCTACAAAAGCGAATGCGGCACACTGGCTGGTAGGGCGAATGCAACCATCACATGGAAAGTGACGGAGAATGCTTA
>NC_000020.11:26442998-26586955 GCF_000001405.40 Homo sapiens
AGAATTCTCAGAAACTTCCTTGTGATGGTTGCATTCAAATCATGGAGTTGAACATTCGCTTTCATAGAGCAGGTTGGAAACACTCTTTTTCCATTCCCTGGAAGTGGACATTTGGAGTGCTTCGAGGCCAATGGTGAAAAAGGAAATATCTTCCCATAAAAACTAGACAGAAGCATTCTCAGAAACTTCATTGTGATGTGTGTCCTCAACTGACAGAGTTGAACATGTCTTTTGAGAGAGCAGTTTTGAAACACTCTTTCTGTGGAACCTGCAAGTGGATATTTAGCTGGTTTGACGATTTCGTTGGAAACGGGAATACATATAAAAAGCAGACAGCAGCGTTCTGAGAAATTTCTTGGTGATGTTTGCATTCAAGTCACAGAATTGAACATTCCCTTTGATAGAACAGGTTTGAAACACTCCTTTTCTCATATCTGGAAGTGTCCATTTGGAGCGCATTCAGGCTTGTGTTGAAAAAGGAAATATCTTCCCATAAAAACTAGACAGAAGCATTCTCAGCAACTCGTTTGTGATGTGTGCATTCTACTAACAGAGCTGAACCTTTCTTTTCATAGAGCAGTTTTGAAACACTCTTTTTGTAGAATCTGCAGGAGGATATTTGCATAGCTTTGAGGATTGCGTTGGAAACGGGATTGTCTTCACATAAAATCCAGACAGAAGCATTCTCAGAAACTTCTTTGGGATGTTTGCATTGACGTCACAGAGGAGAACATGCCCTTTCGTAGAGAAGGTTTGAAACACTCTCTTTGCAGTATCTGGAAGTGGACATTTGAAGCGGTTTCAGGCCTATGTTGAAAAAGGAAATATCTTCCCGTAACAACTGGACAGAAGCATTCTCAGAAGCTAGTCTCTGATGTGTGTCCTCAACTAACAGAGTTGAACATTTCTTTGGAGAGTATAGTTTTGAAAAACTCTTTTTGTGGAGTGTGCAAGTGGATATTTGGCTGGATTTGAGGATTTCGTTGGAAACGGGATAAGGTACAAAAAGCAGACAGCAGCATTCTCAGAAACTTCTTTGTGATGTTTGCATACAAGTCACAGAATTGAACATTCCCTTTCACAGAGCAGGTTTGAAACACTCTTTTTGTAGTGTCTGTAAGTGGACTTTTGGAGTGCTTTCCGGCCGAATGTGAAAAAGGACATATCTTCCCATAAAAATTAGACAGAAGCATTCTCAGCAACTTGTTTGTGATGTGTGTCCTCAACCAACAGAGTAGAACCTTTCTTTTGATAGAGCAGTTTTGAAACACTCTTTTTGTAGAATCTGCAAGTGGATATTTGGATAGCTTTGAGGATTTCGTTGGAAACGGGAATATCTTCATATAAAATCTAGATAGAAGCATTCTCAGAAACTTCCTTGTGATGGTTGCATTCAAGTCACGGAGTTGAACATTGGCATTCATAGAGCAGGTTGGAAACACTCTTTTTCCATTCCCTGGAAGTGGACATTTGGAGCGCTTTGAGGCCTATGGTGAAAAAGGAAATATCTTCCCATAAAAACTAGACAGAAGCATTCTCAGAAACTTCTTTGTGATGTGTGTCCTCAACTGACAGAGTTGAACATGTCTTTTGAGAAAGCAGTTTTGAAACAATCTTTCTGTGGAACCTGCAAGTGGATATTTGGCTGGCTTTGACGATTTCGTTGGAAACGGGAATACATATAAAAAGCAGACAGCAGCGTTCTGAGAAACTACTTGGTGATGTTTGCATTCAAGTCACAGAATGGAACGTTCCCTTTCACAGAACAGGTTTGAAACACTCCTTTTGTCGTATCTCGAAGTGTCCGTTTGGTGCGCATTCAGGCTTGTGTTGGAAAAGGAAATATCTTCCCATAAAAATCAGACAGAAGCCTTCTCGGCAACTTGTTTGTGATGTGTGCCCTCTACTAACAGAGTCGAACCTTTCTATTCATAGAGCAGTTTTGAAACACTCCTTTTGTAGAATCTGAAGGAGCATATTTGCATATCTTTGAGGATTTCTTTGGAAACGGGATTGTCTTCAGATAAAATCCAGACAGAAGCATTCTCAGAAACTTCTTTGGGATGTTTGCATTGACGTCACAGAGGAGAACATGCCCTTTCGTAGAGAAGGTTTGAAACACTCTCTTTGCAGTATCTGGAAGTGGACATTTGAAGTGGTTTCAGGCCTATGTTGAAAAAGGAAATATCTTCCCGTAACAACTGGACAGAAGCATTCTCAGAAGCTAGTCTCTGATGTGTGTCCTCAACTAACAGAGTTGAACATTTCTTTTGACAGTACAGTTTTGAAACACTCTTTTTGTGGAGTCTGCAAGTGGATATTTGGCTGGATTTGAGGATTTCGTTGGAAACGGGATAAGGTATAAAAAGCAGACAGCAGCATTCTCAGCAACTTCTTTGTGATGTTTGCATTCAAGTCACAGAATTGAACATTCCCTTTCACAGAGCAGGTTTGAAACACTCTTTTTGTAGTGTCTGTAACTGGACTTTTGGAGCGCTTTCCGGCCTAAGGTGAAAAAGGACATATCTTCCCATAAAAACTAGACAGAAGCATTGTCAGAAACTTACTCGTGATGTGTGTCCTCAACTGACGGAGTAGAACCTTTCTTTTGATAGAGCAGTTTTGAAACACTCTTTTTGTAGAATCTCCAAGTGGATATTTGGGTAGCTTTGAGGATTTCGTTGGAAACGGGAATATCTTCATATAAAACCTAGACAGAAGCATTCTCAGAAACTTCCTTGTGATGGTTGCATTCAAGTCACGGAGTTGAACATTGGCTTTCATACAGTAGGTTGGAAACACTCTTTTTCCATTCCCTGGAAGTGGACATTTGGAGCGCTTTGAGGCCTATGGTGAAAAAGGAAATATCTTCCCATAAAAACTAGACAGAAGCATTCTCAGAAACTTCTTTGTGATGTGTGTCCTCAACTGACAGAGTTGAACATGTCTTTTGAGAGAGCAGTTTTGAAACACTCTTTCTGTGGAACCTGCAAGTGGATATTTGGCGGGCTTTGACGATTTCGTTGGAAACGGGAATACATATAAAAACAGACAGCAGCGTTCTGAGAAACTACTTGGTGATGTTTGCATTCAAGTCACAGAATGGAACGTTCCCTTTCACAGAACAGGTTTGAAACACTCCTTTTGTCGTATCTCGAAGTGTCCATTTGGAGCGCATTCAGGCTTGTGTTGGAAAAGGAAATATCTTCCCATAAAAACCAGACAGAAACATTCTCGGCAACTTGTTTGTGATGTGTGCCCTCTACTAACAGAGTCGAACCTTTCTTTTCATAGAGCAGTTTTGAAACACTCTTTTTGTAGAATCTGCAGGAGCATATTTGCATATCTTTGAGGATTTCGTTGGAAACGGGATTGTCCTCAGATAAAATCCAGACAGAAGCATTCTCAGAAACTTCTTTGGGATGTTTGCATTGACGTCACTGAGGAGAACATGCCCTTTCGTAGAGAAGGTTTGAAACACTCTCTTTGCAGTATCTGGAAGTGGACATTTGAAGCGGTTTCAGGCCTATGTTGAAAAAGGAAATATCTTCCCGTAACAACTGGACAGAAGCATTCTCAGAAGCTAGTCTCTGATGTGTGTCCTCAACTAACAGAGTTGAACATTTCTTTGGAGAGTATAGTTTTGAAACACTCTTTTTGTGGAGTCTGCAAGTGGATATTTGGCTGGATTTGAGGATTTCGTTGGAAACGCGATAAGGTATAAAAAGCAGACAGCAGCATTCTCAGCAACTTCTTTGTGATCTTTGCATTCAAGTTACAGAATTGAACATTCCCTTTCACAGAGCAGGTTTGAAACACTCTTTTTGTAGTGTCTGTAACTGGACTTTTGGAGCGCTTTCCGGCCTAAGGTGAAAAAGGACATATCTTCCCATAAAAACTAGACAGAAGCATTGTCAGAAACTTACTCGTGATGTGTGTCCTCAACTGACGGAGTAGAACCTTTCTTTTGATAGAGCAGTTTTGAAACACTCTTTTTGTAGAATCTCCAAGTGGATATTTGGATAGCTTTGAGGATTTCGTTGGAAACGGGAATATCTTCATATAAAACCTAGACAGAAGCATTCTCAGAAACTTCCTTGTGATGGTTGCATTCAAGTCACGGAGTTGAACATTGGCTTTCATACAGTAGGTTGGAAACACTCTTTTTCCATTCCCTGGAAGTGGACATTTGGAGCGCTTTGAGGCCTATGGTGAAAAAGGAAATATCTTCCCATAAAAACTAGACAGAAGCATTCTCAGAAACTTCTTTGTGATGTGTGTCCTCAACTGACAGAGTTGAACATGTCTTTTGAGAGAGCAGTTTTGAAACACTCTTTCTGTGGAACCTGCAAGTGGATATTTGGCGGGCTTTGACGATTTCGTTGGAAACGGGAATACATATAAAAAGCAGACAGCAGCGTTCTGAGAAACTACTTGGTGATGTTTGCATTCAAGTCACAGAAAGGAACGTTCCCTTTCATAGAACAGGTTTGAAACACGCCTTTTGTCGTATCTGGAAGTGGCCATTTGGAGCGCATTCAGGCTAGTGTTGGAAAAGGAAATATCTTCCCATAAAAACCAGACAGAAGCATTCTCGGCAACTTGTTTGTGATGTGTGCCCTCTACTAACAGAGTCGAACCTTTCTATTCATAGAGCAGTTTGGAAACACTCTTTTTGTAGAATCTGCAGGAGCATATTTGCATATCTTTGAGGATTTCGTTGGAAACGGGATTGTCTTCAGATAAAATCCAGACAGAAGCATTCTCAGAAACTTCTTTGGGATGTTTGCATTGACGTCACAGAGGAGAACATGCCCTTTCGTAGAGAAGGTTTGAAACACTCTCTTTGCAGTATCTGGAAGCGGACATTTGAAGCGGTATCAGGCCTATTTTGAAAAAGGAAATATCTTCCCGTAACAACTGGACAGAAGCATTCTCAGAAGCTAGTCTCTGATGTGTGTCCTCAACTAACAGAGTTGAACATTTCTTTTGACAGTAGAGTTTTGAAACACTCTTTTTGTGGAGTCTGCAAGTGGATATTTGGCTGGATTTGAGGATTTCGTTGGAAACGGGATAAGGTATAAAAAGCAGACAGCAGCGTTCTGAGAAACATCTTTGTGATGTTTGTATTCAGGACACAGAGTTGAACATTCCCTATCATAGAGCAGGTTTGAATCACTCCTTTTGTAGTATCTGGAAGTGGACATTTGGAGCGCTTTCCGGCCTCAGGTGAAAAAGGAAATATCTTCCCATAAAAACTAGACAGAAGCATTGTCAGAAACTTACTCGTGATGTGTGTCCTCAACTGACGGAATAGAACCTTTCTTTTGATAGAGCAGTTTTGAAACACTCTTTTTGTAGAATCTCCAAGTGGATATTTGGATAGCTTTGAGGATTTCGTTGGAAACGGGAATATCTTCATATAAAACCTAGACAGAAGCATTCTCAGAAACTTCCTTGTGATGGTTGCATTCAAGTCACGGAGTTGAACATTCGCTTTCATAGAGCAGGTTGGAAACACTCTTTTTCCATTCGGTGGAAGTGGACATTTGGAGCGCTTCGAGGCCTATGGTGAAAAAGGAAATATCTTCCCATCAAAACTAGACAGAAGCATTCTCAGAAACTTCTTTGTGATGTGTGTCCTCAACTGACAGAGTTGAACATGTCTTTTGAGAGAGCAGTTTTGAAACACTCTTTCTGTGGAACCTGCAAGTGGATATTTGGCTGGCTTTGACGATTTCGTTGGAAACGGGAATACATATAAAAAGCAGACAGCAGCGTTCTGAGAAACTACTTGGTGATGTTTGCATTCAAGTCACAGAATGGAACGTTCCCTTTCACAGAACAGGTTTGAAACACTCCTTTTGTCGTATCTGGAAGTGTCCATTTGGAGCGCATTCAGGCCTGTGTTGGAAAAGGAAATATCTTCCCATAAAAACCAGACAGAAGCCTTCTCGGCAACTTGTTTGTGATGTGTGCCCTCTACTAACAGAGTCGAACCTTTCTATTCATAGAGCAGTTTTGAAACACTCTTTTTGTAGAATCTGCAGGAGCATATTTGCATAGCTTTGAGGATTTCGTTGGAAACGGGATTGTCTTCAGATAAAATCCAGACAGAAGCATTCTCAGAAACTTCTTTGGGATGTTTGCATTGACGTCACAGAGGAGAACATGCCCTTTCGTAGAGAAGGTTTGAAACACTCTCTTTGCAGTATCTGGAAGTGGACACTTGAAGCGGTTTCAGGCCTATGTTGAAAAAGGAAATATCTTCCCGTAACAACTGGACAGAAGCATTCCCAGAAGCTAGTCTCTGATGTTTGTCCTCAACTAACAGAGTTGAACATTTCTTTGGAGAGTACAGTTTTGCAACACTCTTTTTGTGGAGACTGCAAGTGGATACTTGACTAGATTTGAGGATTTCGTTGGATATGGGATAAGGTATAAAAAGCAGACAGCAGCATTCTCAGCAACTTCTTTGTGATGTTTGCATTCAAGTCACAGAATTGAACATTCCCTTTCACAGAGCAGGTTTGAAACACTCTTTTTGTAGTGTCTGTAACTGGACTTTTGGAGCGCTTTCCGGCCTAAGGTGAAAAAGGACATATCTTCCCATAAAAACTAGACAGAAGCATTGTCAGAAACTTACTCGTGATGTGTGTCCTCAACTGACGGAGTAGAACCTTTCTTTTGATAGAGCAGTTTTGAAACACTCTTTTTGTAGAATCTCCAAGTGGATATTTGGATAGCTTTGAGGATTTCGTTGGAAACGGGAATATCTTCATATAAAACCTAGACAGAAGTATTATCAGAAACTTCCTTGTGATGGTTGCATTCAAGTAACAGAGTTGAACATTCGCTTTCATAGAGCATGTTTGAAACACTCTTTTTCCATTACCTGGAAGTGGACATTTGGAGCGCTTTGAGGCCTATGGTGAAAAAGGAAATATCTTCCCAAAAAAACTAGACAGAAGCATTCTCAGAAACTTCTTTGTGATGTGTGTCCTCAACTGACAGAGTTGAACATGTCTTTTGAGAGAGCAGTTTTGAAACACTCTTTCTGTGGAACCTGCAAGTGGATATTTGGCTGGCTTTGACGATTTCGTTGGAAACGGGAATACATATAAAAAGCAGACAGCAGCGTTCTGAGAAACTACTTGGTGATGTTTGCATTCAAGTCACAGAATGGAACGTTCCCTTTCACAGAACAGGTTTGAAACACTCCTTTTGTCGTATCTGGAAGTGTCCATTTGGAGCGCATTCAGGCTTGTGTTGGAAAAGGAAATATCTTCCCATAAAAACCAGACAGAAGCATTCTCGGCAACTTGTTTGTGATGTGTGCCCTCTACTAACAGAGTCGAACCTTTCTTTTCATAGAGCAGTTTTGAAACACTCTTTTTGTAGAATCTGCAGGAGCATATTTGCATATCTTTGAGGATTTCGTTGGAAACGGGATTGTCTTCAGATAAAATCCAGACAGAAGCATTCTCAGAAACTTCTTTGGGATGTTTGCATTGACGTCACTGAGGAGAACATGCCCCTTCGTAGAGAAGGTTTGAAACACTCTCTTTGCAGTATCTGGAAGCGGACATTTGAAGCTGTTTCAGGCCTATGTTGAAAAAGGAAATATCTTCCCGTAACAACTGGACAGAAGCATTCTCAGAAGCTAGTCTCTGATGTGTGTCCTCAACTAACAGAGTTGAACATTTCTTTGGAGAGTATAGTTTTGAAACACTCTTTTTGTGGAGTCTGCAATTGGATATTTGGCTGGATTTGAGGATTTCGTTGGAAACGCGATAAGGTATAAAAAGCAGACAGCAGCATTCTCAGCAACTTCTTTGTGATGTTTGCATTCAAGTCACAGAATTGAACATTCCCTTTCACATAGCAGGTTTGAAACACTCTTTTTGTAGTGTCTGTAACTGGACTTTTGGAGCGC
Source organism: Homo sapiens (assembly GCF_000001405.40). Lineage (NCBI taxonomy): Eukaryota > Metazoa > Chordata > Mammalia > Primates > Hominidae > Homo > Homo sapiens. Next base: position 26,450,935 of record NC_000020.11, read on the forward strand.
TTTCCGGCCTAAGGTGAAAAAGGACATATCTTCCCATAAAAACTAGACAGAAGCATTGTCAGAAACTTACTCGTGATGTGTGTCCTCAACTGACGGAGTAGAACCTTTCTTTTGATAGAGCAGTTTTGAAACACTCTTTTTGTAGAATCTCCAAGTGGATATTTGGATAGCTTTGAGGATTTCGTTGGAAACGGGAATATCTTCATATAAAACCTAGACAGAAGCATTCTCAGAAACTTCCTTGTGATGGTTGCATTCAAGTCACGGAGATGAACATTGGCTTTCATAGAGCAGGTTGGAAACACTCTTTTTCCATTCCCTGGAAGTGGACATTTGGAGCGCTTTGAGGCCTATGGTGAAAAAGGAAATATCTTCCCATAAAAACTAGACAGAAGCATTCTCAGAAACTTCTTTGTGATGTGTGTCCTCAACTGACAGAGTTGAACATGTCTTTTGAGAGAGCAGTTCTGAAACACTCTTTCTGTGGAACCTGCAAGTGGATATTTGGCTGGCTTTGACGATTTCGTTGGAAATGGGAATACATATAAAAAGCAGACAGCAGCGTTCTGAGAAACTACTTGGTGATGTTTGCATTCAAGTCACAGAATGGAACGTTCCCTTTCACAGAACAGGTTTGAAACACTCCTTTTGTCGTATCTGGAAGTGTCCATTTGGAGCGCATTCAGGCTTGTGTTGGAAAAGGAAATATCTTCCCATAAAAACCAGACAGAAGCCTTCTCGGCAACTTGTTTGTGATGTGTGCCCTCTACTAACAGAGTCGAACCTTTCTATTCATAGAGCAGTTTTGAAACACTCTTTTTGTAGAATCTGCAGGAGCATATTTGCATAGCTTTGAGGATTTCGTTGGAAACGGGATTGTCTTCAGATAAAATCCAGACAGAAGCATTCTCAGAAACTTCTTTGGGATGTTTGCATTGACGTCACTGAGGAGAACATGCCCTTTCGTAGAGAAGGTTTGAAACACTCTCTTTGCAGTATCTGGAAGTGGACATTTGAAGCGGTTTCAGGCCTATGTTGAAAAAGGAAATATCTTCCCGTAACAACTGGACAGAAGCATTCTCAGAAGCTAGTCTCTGATGTGTGTCCTCAACTAACAGAGTTGAACATTTCTTTGGAGAGTATAGTTTTGAAACACTCTTTTTGTGGAGTCTGCAAGTGGATATTTGGCTGGATTTGAGGATTTCGTTGGAAACGGGATAAGGTATAAAAAGCAGACAGCAGCATTCTCAGCAATTTCTTTGTGATGTTTGCATTCAAGTCACAGAATTGAACATTCCCTTTCACAGAGCAGGTTTGAAACACTCTTTTTGTAGTGTCTGTAACTGGACTTTTGGAGCGCTTTCCGGCCTAAGGTGAAAAAGGACATATCTTCCCATAAAAACTAGACAGAAGCATTCTCAGAAACTTACTCGTGATGTGTGTCCTCAACTAAAGTGGTAGAACCTTTCTTTTGATAGAGCAGTTTTGAAACACTCTTTTTGTAGAATCTGCAAGTGGATATTTCGATAGCTTTGTGGATTTCGTTGGAAACGGGAATATCTTCATATAAAATCTAGAGAGAAGTATTATCAGAAACTTCCTTGTAATGGTTGTATTCAAGTCACAGAGTTGAACATTCGCTTTCATAGAGCATGTTTGAAACACTCTTTTTCCATTACCTGGAACTGGACATTTGGAGCGCTTTGAGGCCTATGGTGAAAAAGGAAATATCTTCCCAAAAAAACTAGACAGAAGCATTCTCAGAAACTTCTTTGTGATGTGTGTCCTCAACTGACAGAGTTGAACATGTCTTTTGAGAGAGCAGTTCTGAAACACTCTTTCTGTGGAACCTGCAAGTGGATATTTGGCTGGCTTTGACGATTTCGTTGGAAACGGGAATACATATAAAAAGCAGACAGCAGCGTTCTGAGAAACTACTTGGTGATGTTTGCATTCAAGTCACAGAATGGAACGTTCCCTTTCACAGAACAGGTTTGAAACACTCCTTTTGTCGTATGTGGAAGTGTCCATTTGGAGCGCATTCAGGCTTGTGTTGGAAAAGGAAATATCTTCCCATAAAAACCAGACAGAAGCCTTCTCGGCAACTTGTTTGTGATGTGTGCCCTCTACTAACAGAGTCGAACCTTTCTATTCATAGAGCAGTTTTGAAACACTCTTTTTGTAGAATCTGCAGGAGCATATTTGCATAGCTTTGAGGATTTCGTTGGAAACGGGATTGTCTTCAGATAAAATCCAGACAGAAGCATTCTCAGAAACTTCTTTGGGATGTTTGCATTGACGTCACTGAGGAGAACATGCCCTTTCGTAGAGAAGGTTTGAAACACTCTCTTTGCAGTATCTGGAAGTGGACATTTGAAGCGGTTTCAGGCCTATGTTGAAAAAGGAAATATCTTCCCGTAACAACTGGACAGAAGCATTCTCACAAGCTAGTCTCTGATGTGTGTCCTCAACTAAAAGATTTGAACATTTCTTTGGAGAGTACAGTTTTGAAACACTCTTTTTGTGGAGTCTGCAAGTGGATATTTGGCTAGATTTGAAGATTCCGTTGGAAACGGGATAAGGTATAAAAAGCAGACAGCAGCATTCTCAGCAACTTCTTTGTGATGTTTGCATTCAAGTCACAGAATTGAACATTCCCTTTCACAGAGCAGGTTTGAAACACTCTTTTTGTAGTGTCTGTAACTGGACTTTTGGAGCACTTTCCGGCCTAAGGTGAAAAAGGACATATCTTCCCATGAAAACTAGACAGATAAGCATTCTCAGAAACTTACTCGTGATGTGTGTCCTCAACTAAAGGGGTAGAACCTTTCTTTTGATAGAGCAGTTTTGAAACACTCTTTTTGTAGAATCTGCAAGTGGATATTTCGATAGCTTTGTGGATTTCGTTGGAAACGGGAATATCTTCATATAAAATCTAGAGAGAAGCATTCTCAGAAACTTCCTTGTGATGGTTGCATTCAAGTCACGGAGTTGAACATTGGCTTTCATAGAGCAGGTTGGAAACACTCTTTTTCCATTCCCTGGAAGTGGACATTTGGAGCGCTTTGAGGCCTATGGTGAAAAAGGAAATATCTTCCCATAAAAACTAGACAGAAGCATTCTCAGAAACTTCTTTGTGATGTGTGTCCTCAACTGACAGAGTTGAACATGTCTTTTGAGAGAGCAGTTTTGAAACACTCTTTCTGTGGAACCTGCAAGTGGATATTTGGCTGGCTTTGACGATTTCGTTGGAAACGGGAATACATATAAAAAGCAGACAGCAGCGTCTGAGAAACTACTTGGTGATGTTTGCATTCAAGTCACAGAATGGAACGTTCCCTTTCCCAGAAAAGGTTTGAAACACTCCTTTAGTCGTATCTGGAAGTGTCCATTTGGAGCGCATTCAGGCTTGTGTTGGAAAAGGAAATATCTTCCCATAAAAACCAGACAGAAGCATTCTCGGCAACTTGTTTGTGATGTGTGCCCTCTACTAACAGAGTCGAACCTTTCTATTCATAGAGCAGTTTTGAAACACTCTTTTTGTAGAATCTGCAGGAGCATATTTGTATATCTTTGAGGATTTGGTTGGAAACGGGATTGTCTTCAGATAAAATCCAGACAGAAGCATTCTCAGAAAGTTCTTTGGGATGTTTGCATTGACGTCACAGAGGAGAACATGCCCTTTCGTAGAGAAGGTTTGAAACACTCTCTTTGCAGTATCTGGAAGTGGACACTTGAAGCGGTTTCAGGCCTATGTTGAAAAAGGAAATATCTTCCCGTAACAACTGGACAGAAGAATTCTCAGAAGCTAGTCTCTCATGTGTGTCCTCAACTAACAGAGTTGAACATTTCTTTTGACAGTACAGTTTTGAAACACTCTTTTTGTGGAGTCTGCAAGTGGATATTTGGCTGGATTTGAGGATTTCGTTGGAAACGGGATAAGGTATAAAAAGCAGACAGCAGCATTCTCAGCAACTTCTTTGTGATGTTTGCATTCAAGTCACAGAATTGAACATTCCCTTTCACATAGCAGGTTTGAAACACTCTTTTTGTAGTGTCTGTAACTGGACTTTTGGAGCGCTTTCCGGCCTAAGGTGAAAAAGGACATATCTTCCCATAAAAACTAGACAGAAGCATTGTCAGAAACTTACTCGTGATGTGTGTCCTCAACTGACGGAGTAGAACCTTTCTTTTGATAGAGCAGTTTTGAAACACTCTTTTTGTAGAATCTCCAAGTGGATATTTGGATAGCTTTGAGGATTTCGTTGGAAACGGGAATATCTTCATATAAAACCTAGACAGAAGCATTCTCAGAAACTTCCTTGTGATGGTTGCATTCAAGTCACGGAGTTGAACATTGGCTTTCATAGAGCAGGTTGGAAACACTCTTTTTCCATTCCCTGGAAGTGGACATTTGGAGCGCTTTGAGGCCTATGGTGAAAAAGGAAATATCTTCCCATAAAAACTAGACAGAAAGCATTCTCAGAAACTTCTTTGTGATGTGTGTCCTCAACTGACAGAGTTGAACATGTCTTTTGAGAGAGCAGTTTTGAAACACTCTTTCTGTGGAACCTGCAAGTGGATATTTGGCTGGCTTTGACGATTTCGTTGGAAACGGGAATACATATAAAAAGCAGACAGCTGCGTTCTGAGAAACTACTTGGTGATGTTTGCATTCAAGTCACAGAATGGAACGTTCCCTTTCACAGAACAGGTTTGAAACACTCCTTTTGTCGTATCTGGAAGTGTCCATTTGGAGCGCATTCAGGCTTGTGTTGGAAAAGGAAATATCTTCCCAAAAAAATCAGACAAAAGCATTCTCGGCAACTTGTTTGTGATGTGTGCCCTCTACTAACAGAGTCGAACTTTTCTTTTCATAGAGCAGTTTTGAAACACTCTTTTTGTAGAATCTGCAGGAGCATATTTGCATATCTTTGAGGATTTCGTTGGAAACGGGATTGTCTTCAGATAAAATCCAGACAGAAGCATTCTCAGAAACTTCTTTGGGATGTTTGCATTGACGTCACAGAGGAGAACATGCCCTTTCGTAGAGAAGGTTTGAAACACTCTCTTTGCAGTATCTGGAAGTGGACATTTGAAGCGGTTTCAGGCCTATGTTGAAAAAGGAAATATCTTCCCGTAACAACTGGACAGAAGCATTCTCAGAAGCTAGTCTCTGATGTGTGTCCTCAACTAACAGAGTTGAACATTTCTTTGGAGAGTATAGTTTTGAAAAACTCTTTTTGTGGAGTGTGCAAGTGGATATTTGGCTGGATTTGAGGATTTCGTTGGAAACGGGATAAGGTATAAAAAGCAGACAGCAGCATTCTCAGCAATTTCTTTGTGATGTTTGCATTCAAGTCACAGAATTGAACATTCCCTTTCACAGAGCAGGTTTGAAACACTCTTTTTGTAGTGTCTGTAACTGGACTTTTGGAGCGCTTTCCGGCCTAAGGTGAAAAAGGACATATCTTCCCATAAAAACTAGACAGAAGCATTGTCAGAAACTTACTCGTGATGTGTGTCCTCAACTGACGGAGTAGAACCTTTCTTTTGATAGAGCAGTTTTGAAACACTCTTTTTGTAGAATCTCCAAGTGGATATTTGGATAGCTTTGAGGATTTCGTTGGAAACGGGAATATCTTCATATAAAACCTAGACAGAAGCATTCTCAGAAACTTTCCTTGTGATGGTTGCATTCAAGTCACGGAGTTGAACATTGGCATTCATAGAGCAGGTTGGAAACACTCTTTTTCCATTCCCTGGAAGTGGACATTTGGAGCGCTTTGAGGCCTATGGTGAAAAAGGAAATATCTTCCCATAAAAACTAGACAGAAGCATTCTCAGAAACTTCTTTGTGATGTGTGTCCTCAACTGACAGAGTTGAACATGTCTTTTGAGAGAGCAGTTCTGAAACACTCTTTCTGTGGAACCTGCAAGTGGATATTTGGCTGGCTTTGACGATTTCGTTGGAAACGGGAATACATATAAAAAGCAGACAGCAGCGTTCTGAGAAACTACTTGGTGATGTTTGCATTCAAGTCACAGAATGGAACGTTCCCTTTCACAGAACAGGTTTGAAACACTCCTTTTGTCGTATCTGGAAGTGTCCATTTGGAGCGCATTCAGGCTTGTGTTGGAAAAGGAAATATCTTCCCATAAAAACCAGACAGAAGCCTTCTCGGCAACTTGTTTGTGATGTGTGCCCTCTACTAACAGAGTCGAACCTTTCTATTCATAGAGCAGTTTTGAAACACTCTTTTTGTAGAATCTGCAGGAGCATATTTGCATAGCTTTGAGGATTTCGTTGGAAACGGGATTGTCTTCAGATAAAATCCAGACAGAAGCATTCTCAGAAACTTCTTTGGGATGTTTGCATTGACGTCACTGAGGAGAACATGCCCTTTCGTAGAGAAGGTTTGAAACACTCTCTTTGCAGTATCTGGAAGTGGACATTTGAAGCGGTTTCAGGCCTATGTTGAAAAAGGAAATATCTTCCCGTAACAACTGGACAGAAGCATTCTCAGAAGCTAGTCTCTGATGTGTGTCCTCAACTAACAGAGTTGAACATTTCTTTGGAGAGTATAGTTTTGAAACACTCTTTTTGTGGAGTCTGCAAGTGGATATTTGGCTGGATTTGAGGATTTCGTTGGAAACGGGATAAGGTATAAAAAGCAGACAGCAGCATTCTCAGCAATTTCTTTGTGATGTTTGCATTCAAGTCACAGAATTGAACATTCCCTTTCACAGAGCAGGTTTGAAACACTCTTTTTGTAGTGTCTGTAACTGGACTTTTGGAGCGCTTTCCGGCCTAAGGTGAAAAAGGACATATCTTCCCATAAAAACTACACAGAAGCATTGTCAGAAACTTACTCGTGATGTGTGTCCTCAACTGACGGAGTAGAACCTTTCTTTTGATAGAGCAGTTTTGAAACACTCTTTTTGTAGAATCTCCAAGTGGATATTTGGATAGCTTTGAGGATTTCGTTGGAAACGGGAATATCTTCATATAAAACCTAGACAGAAGCATTCTCAGAAACTTCCTTGTGATGGTTGCATTCAAGTCACGGAGTTGAACATTGGCTTTCATAGAGCAGGTTGGAAACACTCTTTTTCCATTCCCTGGAAGTGGACATTTGGAGCGCATTGAGGCCTATGGTGAAAAAGGAAATATCTTCCCATAAAAACTAGACAGAAGCATTCTCAGAAACTTCTTTGTGATGTGTGTCCTCAACTGACAGAGTTGAACATGTCTTTTCAGAGAGCAGTTCTGAAACACTCTTTCTGTGGAACCTGCAAGTGGATATTTGGCTGGCTTTGACGATTTCGTAGGAAACGGGAATACATATAAAAAGCAGACAGCAGCGTTCTGAGAAACTACTTGGTGATGTTTGCATTCAAGTCACAGAATGGAACGTTCCCTTTCACAGAACAGGTTTGAAACACTCCTTTTGTCGTATCTGGAAGTGTCCATTTGGAGCGCATTCAGGCCTGTGTTGGAAAAGGAAATATCTTCCCATAAAAACCAGACAGAAGCCTTCTCGGCAACTTGTTTGTGATGTGTGCCCTCTACTAACAGAGTCGAACCTTTCTATTCATAGAGCAGTTTTGAAACACTCTTTTTGTAGAATCTGCAGGAGCATATTTGCATAGCTTTGAGGATTTCGTTGGAAACGGGATTGTCTTCAGATAAAATCCAGACAGAAGCATTCTCAGAAACTTCTTTGGGATGTTTGCATTGACGTCACTGAGGAGAACATGCCCTTTCGTAGAGAAGGTTTGAAACACTCTCTTTGCAGTATCTGGAAGTGGACATTTGAAGCGGTTTCAGGCCTATGTTGAAAAAGGAAATATCTTCCCGTAACAACTGGACAGAAGCATTCTCAGAAGCTAGTCTCTGATGTGTGTCCTCAACTAACAGAGTTGAACATTTCTTTGGAGAGTATAGTTTTGAAACACTCTTTTTGTGGAGTCTGCAAGTGGATATTTGGCTGGATTTGAGGATTTCGTTGGAAACGGGATAAGGTATAAAAAGCAGACAGCAGCATTCTCAGCAATTTCTTTGTGATGTTTGCATTCAAGTCACAGAATTGAACATTCCCTTTCACAGAGCAGGTTTGAAACACTCTTTTTGTAGTGTCTGTAACTGGACTTTTGGAGCGCTCTCCGGCCTAAGGTGAAAAAGGACATATCTTCCCATAAAAACTAGACAGAAGCATTGTCAGAAACTTACTCGTGATGTGTGTCCTCAACTGACGGAGTAGAACCTTTCTTTTGATAGAGCAGTTTTGAAACACTCTTTTTGTAGAATCTCCAAGTGGATATTTGGATAGCTTTGAGGATTTCGTTGGAAACGGGAATATCTTCATATAAAACCTAGACAGAAGCATTCTCAGAAACTTCCTTGTGATGGTTGCATTCAAGTCACTGAGTTGAACATTCGCTTTCATAGAGCAGGTTGGAAACACTCTTTTTCCATTCCGTGGAAGTGGACATTGGGAGCGCTTCGAGGCCTATGGTGAAAAAGGAAATATCTTCCCATCAAAACTAGACAGAAGCATTCTCAGAAACTTATTTGTGATGTGTGTCCTCAACTGACAGAGTTGAACATTTCTTTTGAGAGAGCAGTTTTGAAACACTCTTTTTGTGGAATCTGCAAGTGGATATTTGGCTGGCGTTGACGACTTCGTTGGAAACGGGAATACATATAAAAAGCAGACAGCAGCGTTCTGAGAAACTTCTTGGTGATGTTTACATTCAAGTCACAGAATGGAACGTTCCCTTTCATAGAACAGGTTTGAAACTCTCCTTTTGTCGTATCTGGAAGTGTCCATTTGGAGCGCATTCAGGCTTGTGTTGAAAAAGGAAATATCTTCCCATAAAAACTAGACAGAAGCATTCTCGGCAACTTGTTTGTGATGTGTGCCCTCTACTAACAGAGTCGAACCTTTCTTTTCATAGAGCAGTTTTGAAACACTCTTTTTGTAGAATCTGCAGGAGCATATTTGCATATGCTTTGAGGATTTCGTTGGAAACGGGATTGTCTTCAGATAAAATCCAGACAGAAGCATTCTCAGAAACTTCTTTGGGATGTTTGCATTCAAGTCACAGAGGAGAACATGCCCTTTCGTAGAGAAGGTTTGAAACACTGTTTTTGTAGTATCTGGAAGTGGACTTTTGGAGCGGTTTCAGGCCTATGTTGAAAAAAGAAATATCTTCCCGTAACAACTGGACAGAAGCATACTCAGAAGCTAGTCTCTCATGAGTGTCCTCAACTAACAGAGTTGAACATTTCTTTAGACAGAAGAGTTTTGAAATACTCTTTTTGGGGAGTCTGAAAGTGGATATTTGGCTAGATTTGAGGATTTCGTTGGAAACGGGATTACGAATAAAAAGCCGACAGCAGCATTCTCAGCAACTTCTTTGTGATGTTTGCATTCAAGTCACAGAATTGAACATTCCCTTTCACAGAGCAGGTTTGAAACACTCTTTTTGTAGTGTCTGTAACTGGACATTTGGGGCGCTTTCCGGCCTAAGGTGAAAAAGGACATATCTTCCCATAAAAACTAGACAGAAGCATTCTCAGAAACTTACTCGTGATGTGTGTCCTCAACTAAAGGGGTAGAACCTTTCTTTTGATAGAGCAGTTTTGAAACACTCTTTTTGTAGAATCTGCAACTGGATATTTCGATAGCTTTGTGGATTTCCTTGGAAACGGGAATATCTTCGTATAAAATCTAGAGAGAAGCATTCTCAGAAACTTCCTTGTGATGGTTGCATTCAAGTCACGGAGTTGAACATTGGCATTCATAGAGCAGGTTGGAAACACTCTTTTTCCATTCCCTGGAAGTGGACATTTGGAGCGCTTTGAGGCCTATGGTGAAAAAGGAAATATCTTCCCATAAAAACTAGACAGAAGCATTCTCAGAAACTTCTTTGTGATGTGTGTCCTCAACTGACAGAGTTGAACATGTCTTTTGAGAAAGCAGTTTTGAAACAATCTTTCTGTGGAACCTGCAAGTGGATATTTGGCTGGCTTTGACGATTTCGTTGGAAACGGGAATACATATAAAAAGCAGACAGCAGCGTTCTGAGAAACTACTTGGTGATGTTTGCATTCAAGTCACAGAATGGAACGTTCCCTTTCACAGAACAGGTTTGAAACACTCCTTTTGTCGTATCTGGAAGTGTCCATTTGGAGCGCATTCAGGCTTGTGTTGGAAAAGGAAATATCTTCCCATAAAAACCAGACAGAAGCCTTCTCGGCAACTTGTTTGTGATGTGTGCCCTCTACTAACAGAGTCGAACCTTTCTATTCATAGAGCAGTTTTGAAACACTCCTTTTGTAGAATCTGAAGGAGCATATTTGCATATCTTTGAGGATTTCTTTGGAAACGGGATTGTCTTCAGATAAAATCCAGACAGAAGCATTCTCAGAAACTTCTTTGGGATGTTTGCATTGACGTCACAGAGGAGAACATGCCCTTTCGTAGAGAAGGTTTGAAACACTCTCTTTGTAGTATCTGGAAGTGGACATTTGAAGTGGTTTCAGGCCTATGTTGAAAAAGGAAATATCTTCCCGTAACAACTGGACAGAAGCATTCTCAGAAGCTAGTCTCTGATGTGTGTCCTCAACTAACAGAGTTGAACATTTCTTTTGACAGTACAGTTTTGAAACACTCTTTTTGTGGAGTCTGCAAGTGGATATTTGGCTGGATTTGAGGATTTCGTTGGAAACGGGATAAGGTATAAAAAGCAGACAGCAGCATTCTCAGCAACTTCTTTGTGATGTTTGCATTCAAGTCACAGAATTGAACATTCCCTTTCACAGAGCAGGTTTGAAACACTCTTTTTGTAGTGTCTGTAACTGGACTTTTGGAGCGCTTTCCGGCCTAAGGTGAAAAAGGACATATCTTCCCATAAAAACTAGACAGAAGCATTGTCAGAAACTTACTCGTGATGTGTGTCCTCAACTGACGGAGTAGAACCTTTCTTTTGATAGAGCAGTTTTGAAACACTCTTTTTGTAGAATCTCCAAGTGGATATTTGGGTAGCTTTGAGGATTTCGTTGGAAACGGGAATATCTTCATATAAAACCTAGACAGAAGCATTCTCAGAAACTTCCTTGTGATGGTTGCATTCAAGTCACGGAGTTGAACATTGGCTTTCATAGAGCAGGTTGGAAACACTCTTTTTCCATTCCCTGGAAGTGGACATTTGGAGCGCTTTGAGGCCTATGGTGAAAAAGGAAATATCTTCCCATAAAAACTAGACAGAAGCATTCTCAGAAACTTCATTGTGATGTGTGTCCTCAACTGACAGAGTTGAACATGTCTTTTGAGAGAGCAGTTTTGAAACACTCTTTCTGTGGAACCTGCAAGTGGATATTTAGCTGGTTTGACGATTTCGTTGGAAACGGGAATACATATAAAAAGCAGACAGCTGCGTTCTGAGAAACTACTTGGTGATGTTTGCATTCAAGTCACAGAATGGAACGTTCCCTTTCACAGAACAGGTTTGAAACACTCCTTTTGTCGTATCTGGAAGTGTCCATTTGGAGCGCATTCAGGCTTGTGTTGGAAAAGGAAATATCTTCCCAAAAAAATCAGACAGAAGCATTCTCGGCAACTTGTTTGTGATGTGTGCCCTCTACTAACAGAGTCGAACTTTTCTTTTCATAGAGCAGTTTTGAAACACTCTTTTTGTAGAATCTGCAGGAGCATATTTGCATATCTTTGAGGATTTCGTTGGAAACGGGATTGTCTTCAGATAAAATCCAGACAGAAGCATTCTCAGAAACTTCTTTGGGATGTTTGCATTGACGTCACAGAGGAGAACATGCCCTTTCATAGAGAAGGTTTGAAACACTCTCTTTGCAGTATCTGGAAGTGGACATTTGAAGCGGTTTCAGGCCTATGTTGAAAAAGGAAATATCTTCCCGTAACAACTGGACAGAAGCATTCTCAGAAGCTAGTCTCTGATGTGTGTCCTCAACTAACAGAGTTGAACATTTCTTTGGAGAGTATAGTTTTGAAAAACTCTTTTTGTGGAGTGTGCAAGTGGATATTTGGCTGGATTTGAGGATTTCGTTGGAAACGGGATAAGGTATAAAAAGCAGACAGCAGCATTCTCAGCAATTTCTTTGTGATGTTTGCATTCAAGTCACAGAATTGAACATTCCCTTTCACAGAGCAGGTTTGAAACACTCTTTTTGTAGTGTCTGTAACTGGACTTTTGGAGCGCTTTCCGGCCTAAGGTGAAAAAGGACATATCTTCCCATAAAAACTAGACAGAAGCATTGTCAGAAACTTATTCGTGATGTGTGTCCTCAACTGACGGAGTAGAACCTTTCTTTTGATAGAACAGTTTTGAAACACTCTTTTTGTAGAATCTCCAAGTGGATATTTGGATAGCTTTGAGGATTTCGTTGGAAACGGGAATATCTTCATATAAAATCTAGACAGAAGCATTCTCAGAAACTTCCTTGTGATGTTTGCATTCAAGTCACGGAGTTGAACATTCGCTTTCATAGAGTAGGTTGGAAACACTCTTTTTCCATCCCCTGGAAGTGGACATTTGGAGCGCTTTGAGGCCTATGGTGAAAAAGGAAATATCTTCCCATAAAAACTAGACAGAAGCATTCTCAGAAACTTATTTGTGATGTGTGTCCTCAACTGACAGAGTTGAACATGTCTTTTGAGAGAGCAGTTTTGAAACACTCTTTCTGTGGAACCTGCAAGTGGATATTTGGCTGGCTTTGACGATTTCGTTGGAAACGGGAATACATATTAAAAGCAGTCAGCAGTGTTCTGAGAAACTACTTGGTGATGTTTGCATTCAAGTCACAGAAAGGAACGTTCCCTTTCATAGAACAGGTTTGAAACACGCCTTTTGTCGTATCTGGAAGTGGCAATTTGGAGCGCATTCAGGCTAGTGTTGGAAAAGGAAATATCTTCCCATAAAAACCAGACAGAAGCATTCTCGGCAACTTGTTTGTGATGTGTGCCCTCTACTAACAGGGTCGTACCTTTCTTTTCATAGAGCAGTTTTGAAACACTCTTTTTGTAGAATCTGCAGGAGCATATTTGCATAGTTTGAGGATTTCGTTGGAAACGGGATTGTCTTCAGATAAAATCCAGACAGAAGCATTCTCAGAAACTTCTTTGGGATGTTTGCATTGACGTCACAGAGGAGAACATGCCCTTTCGTCGAGAAGGTTTGAAACACTCTCTTTGCAGTATCTAGAAGTGGACATTTGAAGCGGTTTCAGGCCTATGTTGAAAAAGGAAACATCTTCCCGTAACAACTGGACAGAAGCATTCTCAGAAGCTAGTCTCTGATGTGTGTCCTCAACTAACAGAGTTAAATATTTCTTTGGACAGTACAGTTTTGAAACACTCTTTTTGTGGAGAGTGCAAGTGGATACTTGGCTAGATTTGAGGATTTCGTTGGAAACGGGATAAGGTATGAAAAGCAGACAGCAGCATTCTCAGCAACTTCTTTGTGATGTTTGCATTCAAGTCACAGAATTGAACATTCTCTTTCACAGAGCAGGTTTGAAACACTCTTTTTGTAGTGTCTGTAAGTGGATTTTTGGGGCGCTTTCCGGCCTAAGGTGAAAAAGGACATATATTCCCATAAAAACTAGACAGAAGCATTGTCAGAAACTTACTCGTGATGTGTGTCCTCAACTGACGGAGTAGAACCTTTCTTTTGATAGAGCAGTTTTGAAACACTCTTTTTGTAGAATCTCCAAGTGGATATTTGGATAGCTTTGAGGATTTCGTTGGAAACGGGAATATCTTCATATAAAACCTAGACAGAAGCATTCTCAGAAACTTCCTTGTGATGGTTGCATTCAAGTCACGGAGTTGAACATTGGCTTTCATAGAGCAGGTTGGAAACACTCTTTTTCCATTCCCTGGAAGTGGACATTTGGAGCGCATTGAGGCCTATGGTGAAAAAGGAAATATCTTCCCATAAAAACTAGACAGACGCATTCTCAGAAACTTACTCGTGATGTGTGTCCTCAACTGACAGAGTTGAACATTTCTTTTGAGAGAGCAGTTTTGAAACACTCTTTTTGTGGAATCTGAAGGGGATATTTGGCTGGATTTGACGATTTCGTTGGAAACGGTAATACATATAAAAAGCAGACAGCAGCGTTCTGAGAAACTTCTTGGTGATGTTTGCATTCAAGTCACAGAATGGAACGTTCCCTTTCATACAACAGGTTTGAAACACTCCTTTTGTCGTATCTGGAAGTGTCCATTTGGAGCGCATTCTGGCTTGTGTTGAAAAAGGAAATATCTTCCCATAAAAACTAGACAGAAGCATTCTCGGCAACTTGTTTGTGATGTGTGCCCTCTACTAACAGAGTCGAACTTTTCTTTTCATAGAGCAGTTTTGAAACACTCTTTTTGTAGAATCTGCAGGAGCATATTTGCATATCTTTGAGGATTTCGTTGGAAACGGGATTGTCTTCAGATAAAATCCAGACAGAAGCATTCTCAGAAACTTCTTTGGGATGTTTGCATTGACGTCACTGAGGAGAACATGCCCTTTCGTAGAGAAGGTTTGAAACACTCTCTTTGCAGTATCTGGAAGTGGACATTTGAAGCGGTTTCAGGCCTATGTTGAAAAAGGAAATATCTTCCCGTAACAACTGGACAGAAGCATTCTCAGAAGCTAGTCTCTGATGTGTGTCCTCAACTAACAGAGTTGAACATTTCTTTGGAGAGTATAGTTTTGAAAAACTCTTTTTGTGGAGTGTGCAAGTGGATATTTGGCTGGATTTGAGGATTTCGTTGGAAACGGGATAAGGTATAAAAAGCAGACAGCAGCATTCTCAGCAATTTCTTTGTGATGTTTGCATTCAAGTCACAGAATTGAACATTCCCTTTCACAGAGCAGGTTTGAAACACTCTTTTTGTAGTGTCTGTAACTGGACTTTTGGAGCGCTTTCCGGCCTAAGGTGAAAAAGGACATATCTTCCCATAAAAACTAGACAGAAGCATTGTCAGAAACTTACTCGTGATGTGTGTCCTCAACTGACGGAGTAGAACCTTTCTTTTGATAGAGCAGTTTTGAAACACTCTTTTTGTAGAATCTCCAAGTGGATATTTGGATAGCTTTGAGGATTTCGTTGGAAACGGGAATATCTTCATATAAAACCTAGACAGAAGCATTCTCAGAAACTTCCTTGTGATGGTTGCATTCATGTCACGGAGTTGAACATTGGCTTTCATAGAGCAGGTTGGAAACACTCTTTTTCCATTCCCTGGAAGTGGACATTTGGAGCGCTTTGAGGCCTATGGTGAAAAAGGAAACATCTTCCCATAAAAACTAGACATTAGCATTCTCAGAAACTTCTTTGTGATGTGTGTCCTCAACTGACAGAGTTGAACATGTCTTTTGAGAGAGCAGTTCTGAAACACTCTTTCTGTGGAACCTGCAAGTGGATATTTGGCTGGCTTTGACGATTTCGTTGGAAACGGGAATACATATAAAAAGCAGACAGCAGCGTTCTGAGAAACTACTTGGTGATGTTTGCATTCAAGTCACAGAATGGAACGTTCCCTTTCACAGAACAGGTTTGAAACACTCCTTTTGTCGTATCTGGAAGTGTCCATTTGGAGCGCATTCAGGCTTGTGTTGGAAAAGGAAATATCTTCCCATAAAAACCAGACAGAAGCCTTCTCGGCAACTTGTTTGTGATGTGTGCCCTCTACTAACAGAGTCGAACCTTTCTATTCATAGAGCAGTTTTGAAACACTCTTTCTGTAGAATCTGCAGGAGCATATTTGCATATCTTTGAGGATTTCGTTGGAAACGGGATTGTCTTCAGATAAAATCCAGACAGAAGCATTCTCAGAAACTTCTTTGGGATGTTTGCATTGACGTCACTGAGGAGAACATGCCCTTTCGTAGAGAAGGTTTGAAACACTCTCTTTGCAGTATCTGGAAGTGGACATTTGAAGCGGTTTCAGGCCTATGTTGAAAAAGGAAATATCTTCCCGTAACAACTGGACAGAAGCATTCTCAGAAGCTAGTCTCTGATGTGTGTCCTCAACTAACAGAGTTGAACATTTCTTTGGAGAGTATAGTTTTGAAACACTCTTTTTGTGGAGTCTGCAAGTGGATATTTGGCTGGATTTGAGGATTTCGTTGGAAACGGGATAAGGTATAAAAAGCAGACAGCAGCATTCTCAGCAATTTCTTTGTGATGTTTGCATTCAAGTCACAGAATTGAACATTCCCTTTCACAGAGCAGGTTTGAAACACTCTTTTTGTAGTGTCTGTAACTGGACTTTTGGAGCGCTTTCCGGCCTAAGGTGAAAAAGGACATATCTTCCCATAAAAACTAGACAGAAGCATTGTCAGAAACTTACTCGTGATGTGTGTCCTCAACTGACGGAGTAGAACCTTTCTTTTGATAGAGCAGTTTTGAAACACTCTTTTTGTTGAATCTCCAAGTGGATATTTGGATAGCTTTGAGGATTTCGTTGGAAACGGGAATATCTTCATATAAAACCTAGACAGAAGCATTCTCAGAAACTTCCTTGTGATGGTTGCGTTCAAGTCACGGAGTTGCACATTGGCTTTCATAGAGCAGGTTGGAAACACTCTTTTTCCATTCCCTGGAAGTGGACATTTGGAGCGCTTTGAGGCCTATGGTGAAAAAGGAAATATCTTCCCATAAAAACTAGACAGAAGCATTCTCAGAAACTTCTTTGTGATGTGTGTCCTCAACTGACAGAGTTGAACATGTCTTTTGAGAGAGCAGTTCTGAAACACTCTTTCTGTGGAACCTGCAAGTGGATATTTGGCTGGCTTTGACGATTTCGTTGGAAACGGGAATACATATAAAAAGCAGACAGCAGCGTTCTGAGAAACTACTTGGTGATGTTTGCATTCAAGTCACAGAATGGAACGTTCCCTTTCACAGAACAGGTTTGAAACACTCCTTTTGTCGTATCTGGAAGTGTCCATTTGGAGCGCATTCAGGCCTGTGTTGGAAAAGGAAATATCTTCCCATAAAAACCAGACAGAAGCCTTCTCGGCAACTTGTTTGTGATGTGTGCCCTCTACTAACAGAGTCTAACCTTTCTATTCATAGAGCAGTTTTGAAACACTCTTTTTGTAGAATCTGCAGGAGCATATTTGCATAGCTTTGAGGATTTCGTTGGAAACGGGATTGTCTTCAGATAAAATCCAGACAGAAGCATTCTCAGAAACTTCTTTGGGATGTTTGCATTGACGTCACAGAGGAGAACATGCCCTTTCGTAGAGAAGGTTTGAAACACTCTCTTTGCAGTATCTGGAAGTGGACATTTGAAGCGGTTTCAGGCTTATGTTGGAAAAGGAAATATCTTCCCTTAACAACTGGACAGAAGCATTCTCAGAAGCTAGTCTCTGATGTGTGTCCTCAACTAACAGAGTTGAACATTTCTTTGGAGAGTATAGTTTTGAAACACTCTTTTTGTGGAGTCTGCAAGTGGATATTTGGCTGGATTTGAGGATTTCGTTGGAAACGCGATAAGGTATAAAAAGCAGACAGCAGCATTCTCAGCAATTTCTTTGTGATGTTTGCATTCAAGTCACAGAATTGAACATTCCCTTTCACAGAGCAGGTTTGAAACAATCTTTTTGTAGTGTCTGTAACTGGACTTTTGGAGCGCTTTCCGGCCTAAGGTGAAAAAGGACATATCTTCCCATAAAAACTAGACAGAAGCATTGTCAGAAACTTACTCGTGATGTGTGTCCTCAACTGACGGAGTAGAACCTTTCTTTTGATAGAGCAGTTTTGAAACACTCTTTTTGTAGAATCTCCAAGTGGATATTTGGATAGCTTTGAGGATTTCGTTGGAAACGGGAATATCTTCATATAAAACCTAGACAGAAGCATTCTCAGAAACTTCCTTGTGATGGTTGCATTCAAGTCACGGAGTTGAACATTGGCTTTCATAGAGCAGGTTGGAAACACTCTTTTTCCATTCCCTGGAAGTGGACATTTGGAGCGCTTTGAGGCCTATGGTGAAAAAGGAAATATCTTCCCATAAAAACTAGACAGAAGCATTCTCAGAAACATCTTTGTGATGTGTGTCCTCAACTGACAGAGTTGAACATGTCTTTTGAGAGAGCAGTTTGAAACACTCTTTTTGTGGAACCTGCAAGTGGATATTTGGCTGGCTTTGACGATTTCGTTGGAAACGGGAATACATATAAAAAGCAGACAGCAGCGTTCTGAGAAACTACTTGGTGATGTTTGCATTCAAGTCACAGAATGGAACGTTCCCTTTCACAGAACAGGTTTGAAACACTCCTTTTGTCGTATCTGGAAGTGTCCATTTGGAGCGCATTCAGGCTTGTGTTGGAAAAGGAAATATCTTCCCATAAAAACCAGACAGAAGCATTCTCGGCAACTTGTTTGTGATGTGTGCCCTCTACTAACAGAGTCGAACCTTTCTATTCATAGAGCAGTTTTGAAACACTCTTTTTGTAGAATCTGCAGGAGCATATTTGCATATCTTTGAGGATTTCGTTGGAAACGGGATTGTCTTCAGATAAAATCCAGACAGAAGCATTCTCAGAAACTTCTTTGGGATGTTTGCATTGACGTCACTGAGGAGAACATGCCCTTTCGTAGAGAAGGTTTGAAACCCTCTCTTTGCAGTATCTGGAAGTGGATATTTGAAGCGGTTTCAGGCCTATGTTGAAAAGGAAACATATTCCCGTAACAACTGGACAGAAGCATTCTCAGAAGCTAGTCTCTGATGTGTGTCCTCAACTAACAGAGTTGAACATTTCTTTGGAGAGTATAGTTTTGAAACACTCTTTTTGTGGAGTCTGCAAGTGGATATTTGGCTGGATTTGAGGATTTCGTTGGAAACGCGATAAGGTATAAAAAGCAGACAGCAGCATTCTCAGCAATTTCTCTGTGATGTTTGCATTCAAGTCACAGAATTGAACATTCCCTTTCACAGAGCAGGTTTGAAACACTCTTTTTGTAGTGTCTGTAACTGGACTTTTGGAGCGCTTTCCGGCCTAAGGTGAAAAAGGACATATCTTCCCATAAAAACTAGACAGAAGCATTGTCAGAAACTTACTCGTGATGTGTGTCCTCAACTGACGGAGTAGAACCTTTCTTTTGATAGAGCAGTTTTGAAACACTCTTTTTGTAGAATCTCCAAGTGGATATTTGGATAGCTTTGAGGATTTCGTTGGAAACGGGAATATCTTCATATAAAACCTAGACAGAAGCATTCTCAGAAACTTCCTTGTGATGGTTGCATTCAAGTCACGGAGTTGAACATTGGCTTTCATAGAGCAGGTTGGAAACACTCTTTTTCCATTCCCTGGAAGTGGACATTTGGAGCGCTTTGAGGCCTATGGTGAAAAAGGAAATATCTTCCCATAAAAACTAGACAGAAGCATTCTCAGAAACTTCTTTGTGATGTGTGTCCTCAACTGACAGAGTTGAACATGTCTTTTGAGAGAGCAGTTTTGAAACACTCTTTCTGTGGAACCTGCAAGTGGATATTTGGCTGGCTTTGACGATTTCGTTGGAAACGGGAATACATATAAAAAGCAGACAGCAGCGTTCTGAGAAACTACTTGGTGATGTTTGCATTCAAGTCACAGAATGGAACGTTCCCTTTCACAGAACAGGTTTGAAACACTCCTTTTGTCGTATCTGGAAGTGTCCATTTGGAGCGCATTCAGGCTTGTGTTGGAAAAGGAAATATCTTCCCATAAAAACCAGACAGAAGCCTTCTCGGCAACTTGTTTGTGATGTGTGCCCTCTACTAACAGAGTCGAACCTTTCTATTCATAGAGCAGTTTTGAAACACTCTTTTTGTAGAATCTGCAGGAGCATATTTGCATAGCTTTGAGGATTTCGTTGGAAACGGGATTGTCTTCAGATAAAATCCAGACAGAAGCATTCTCAGAAACTTCTTTGGGATGTTTGCATTGACGTCACTGAGGAGAACATGCCCTTTCGTAGAGAAGGTTTGAAACACTCTCTTTGCAGTATCTGGAAGTGGACATTTGAAGCGGTTTCAGGCCTATGTTGAAAAAGGAAATATCTTCCCGTAACAACTGGACAGAAGCATTCTCAGAAGCTAGTCTCTGATGTGTGTCCTCAACTAACAGAGTTGAACATTTCTTTGGAGAGTATAGTTTTGAAACACTCTTTTTGTGGAGTCTGCAAGTGGATATTTGGCTGGATTTGAGGATTTCGTTGGAAACGGGATAAGGTATAAAAAGCAGACAGCAGCATTCTCAGCAATTTCTTTGTGATGTTTGCATTCAAGTCACAGAATTGAACATTCCCTTTCACAAAGCAGGTTTGAAACACTCTTTTTGTAGTGTCTGTAACTGGACTTTTGGAGCGCTTTCCGGCCTAAGGTGAAAAAGGACATATCTTCCCATAAAAACTAGACAGAAGCATTGTCAGAAACTTACTCGTGATGTGTGTCCTCAACTGACGGAGTAGAACCTTTCTTTTGATAGAGCAGTTTTGAAACACTCTTTTTGTAGAATCTCCAAGTGGATATTTGGGTACCTTTGAGGATTTCGTTGGAAACGGGAATATCTTCATATAAAACCTAGACAGAAGCATTCTCAGAAACTTCCTTGTGATGGTTGCATTCAAGTCACGGAGTTGAACATTGGCTTTCATACAGTAGGTTGGAAACACTCTTTTTCCATTCCCTGGAAGTGGACATTTGGAGCGCTTTGAGGCCTATGGTGAAAAAGGAAATATCTTCCCATAAAAACTAGACAGAAGCATTCTCAGAAACTTCTTTGTGATGTGAGTCCTCAACTGACAGAGTTGAACATGTCTTTTGAGAGAGCAGTTTTGAAACACTCTTTCTGTGGAACCTGCAAGTGGATATTTGGCGGGCTTTGACGATTTCGTTGGAAACGGGAATACATATAAAAACAGACAGCAGCGTTCTGAGAAACTACTTGGTGATGTTTGCATTCAAGTCACAGAATGGAAGGTTCCCTTTCACAGAACAGGTTTGAAACACTCCTTTTGTCGTATCTCGAAGTGTCCATTTGGAGCGCATTCAGGCTTGTGTTGGAAAAGGAAATATCTTCCCATAAAAACCAGACAGAAACATTCTCGGCAACTTGTTTGTGATGTGTGCCCTCTACTAACAGAGTCGAACCTTTCTTTTCATAGAGCAGTTTTGAAACACTCTTTTTGTAGAATCTGCAGGAGCATATTTGCATATCTTTGAGGATTTCGTTGGAAACGGGATTGTCCTCAGATAAAATCCAGACAGAAGCATTCTCAGAAACTTCTTTGGGATGTTTGCATTGACGTCACTGAGGAGAACATGCCCTTTCGTAGAGAAGGTTTGAAACACTCTCTTTGCAGTATCTGGAAGTGGACATTTGAAGCGGTTTCAGGCCTATGTTGAAAAAGGAAATATCTTCCCGTAACAACTGGACAGAAGCATTCTCAGAAGCTAGTCTCTGATGTGTGTCCTCAACTAACAGAGTTGAACATTTCTTTGGAGAGTATAGTTTTGAAACACTCTTTTTGTGGAGTCTGCAAGTGGATATTTGGCTGGATTTGAGGATTTCGTTGGAAACGGGATAAGGTATAAAAAGCAGACAGCAGCATTCTCAGCAATTTCTCTGTGATGTTTGCATTCAAGTCACAGAATTGAACATTCCCTTTCACAGAGCAGGTTTGAAACACTCTTTTTGTAGTGTCTGTAACTGGACTTTTGGAGCGCTTTCCGGCCTAAGGTGAAAAAGGACATATCTTCCCATAAAAACTACACAGAAGCATTGTCAGAAACTTACTCGTGATGTGTGTCCTCAACTGACGGAGTAGAACCTTTCTTTTGATAGAGCAGTTTTGAAACACTCTTTTTGTAGAATCTCCAAGTGGATATTTGGATAGCTTTGAGGATTTCGTTGGAAACGGGAATATCTTCATATAAAACCTAGACAGAAGCATTCTCAGAAACTTCCTTGTGATGGTTGCATTCAAGTCACGGAGTTGAACATTGGCTTTCATAGAGCAGGTTGGAAACACTCTTTTTCCATTCCCTGGAAGTGGACATTTGGTGCGCTTTGAGGCCTATGGTGAAAAAGGAAATATCTTCCCATAAAAACTAGACAGAAGCATTCTCAGAAACTTCTTTGTGATGTGTGTCCTCAACTGACAGAGTTGAACATGTCTTTTGAGAGAGCAGTTCTGAAACACTCTTTCTGTGGAACCTGCAAGTGGATATTTGGCTGGCTTTGACGATTTCGTTGGAAACGGGAATACATATAAAAAGCAGACAGCAGCGTTCTGAGAAACTACTTGGTGATGTTTGCATTCAAGTCACAGAATGGAACGTTCCCTTTCACAGAACAGGTTTGAAACACTCCTTTTGTCGTATCTGGAAGTGTCCATTTGGAGCGCATTCAGGCTTGTGTTGGAAAAGGAAATATCTTCCCATAAAAACCAGACAGAAGCATTCTCGGCAACTTGTTTGTGATGTGTGCCCTCTACTAACAGAGTCGAACCTTTCTATTCATAGAGCAGTTTTGAAACACTCTTTTTGTAGAATCTGCAGGAGCATATTTGCATATCTTTGAGGATTTCGTTGGAAACGGGATTGTCTTCAGATAAAATCCAGACAGAAGCATTCTCAGAAACTTCTTTGGGATGTTTGCATTGACGTCACTGAGGAGAACATGCCCTTTCGTAGAGAAGGTTTGAAACCCTCTCTTTGCAGTATCTGGAAGTGGATATTTGAAGCGGTTTCAGGCCTATGTTGAAAAGGAAACATATTCCCGTAACAACTGGACAGAAGAATTCTCAGAAGCTAGTCTCTCATGTGTGTCCTCAACTAACAGAGTTGAACATTTCTTTTGACAGTACAGTTTTGAAACACTCTTTTTGTGGAGTCTGCAAGTGGATATTTGGCTGGATTTGAGGATTTCGTTGGAAACGGGATAAGGTATAAAAAGCAGACAGCAGCATTCTCAGCAACTTCTTTGTGATGTTTGCATTCAAGTCACAGAATTGAACATTCCCTTTCACATAGCAGGTTTGAAACACTCTTTTTGTAGTGTCTGTAACTGGACTTTTGGAGCGCTTTCCGGCCTAAGGTGAAAAAGGACATATCTTCCCATAAAAACTAGACAGAAGCATTGTCAGAAACTTACTCGTGATGTGTGTCCTCAACTGACGGAGTAGAACCTTTCTTTTGATAGAGCAGTTTTGAAACACTCTTTTTGTAGAATCTCCAAGTGGATATTTGGATAGCTTTGAGGATTTCGTTGGAAACGGGAATATCTTCATATAAAACCTAGACAGAAGCATTCTCAGAAACTTCCTTGTGATGGTTGCATTCAAGTCACGGAGTTGAACATTGGCTTTCATAGAGCAGGTTGGAAACACTCTTTTTCCATTCCCTGGAAGTGGACATTTGGAGCGCTTTGAGGCCTATGGTGAAAAAGGAAATATCTTCCCATAAAAACTAGACAGAAGCATTCTCAGAAACTTCTTTGTGATGTGTGCCCTCAACTGACAGAGTTGAACATGTCTTTTGAGAGAGCAGTTCTGAAACACTCTTTCTGTGGAACCTGCAAGTGGATATTTGGCTGGCTTTGACGATTTCGTTGGAAACGGGAATACATATAAAAAGCAGACAGCAGCGTTCTGAGAAACTACTTGGTGATGTTTGCATTCAAGTCACAGAATGGAACGTTCCCTTTCACAGAACAGGTTTGAAACACTCCTTTTGTCGTATCTGGAAGTGTCCATTTGGAGCGCATTCAGGCTTGTGTTGGAAAAGGAAATATCTTCCCATAAAAACCAGACAGAAGCATTCTCGGCAACTTGTTTGTGATGTGTGCCCTCTACTAACAGAGTCGAACCTTTCTTTTCATAGAGCAGTTTTGAAACACTCTTTTTGTAGAATCTGCAGGAGCATATTTGCATATCTTTGAGGATTTCGTTGGAAACGGGATTGTCTTCAGATAAAATCCAGACAGAAGCATTCTCAGAAACTTCTTTGGGATGTTTGCATTGACGTCACTGAGGAGAACATGCCCTTTCGTAGAGAAGGTTTGAAACACTCTCTTTGCAGTATCTGGAAGTGGACATTTGAAGCGGTTTCAGGCCTATGTTGAAAAAGGAAATATCTTCCCGTAACAACTGGACAGAAGCATTCTCAGAAGCTAGTCTCTGATGTGTGTCCTCAACTAACAGAGTTGAACATTTCTTTGGAGAGTATAGTTTTGAAACACTCTTTTTGTGGAGTCTGCAAGTGGATATTTGGCTGGATTTGAGGATTTCGTTGGAAACGGGATAAGGTACAAAAAGCAGACAGCAGCATTCTCAGCAACTTCTTTGTGATCTTTGCATTCAAGTTACAGAATTGAACATTCCCTTTCACAGAGCAGGTTTGAAACACTCTTTTTGTAGTGTCTGTAACTGGACTTTTGGAGCGCTTTCCGGCCTAAGGTGAAAAAGGACATATCTTCCCATAAAAACTAGACAGAAGCATTGTCAGAAACTTACTCGTGATGTGTGTCCTCAACTGACGGAGTAGAACGTTTCTTTTGATAGAGCAGTTTTGAAACACTCTTTTTGTAGAATCTCCAAGTGGATATTTGGATAGCTTTGAGGATTTCGTTGGAAACGGGAATATCTTCATATAAAACCTAGACAGAAGCATTCTCAGAAACTTCCTTGTGATGGTTGCATTCAAGTCACGGAGTTGAACATTGGCATTCATAGAGCAGGTTGGAAACACTCTTTTTCCATTCCCTGGAAGTGGACATTTGGAGCGCTTTGAGGCCTATGGTGAAAAAGGAAATATCTTCCCATAAAAACTAGACAGAAGCATTCTCAGAAACTTTTTTGTGATGTGTATCCTCAACTGACAGAGTTGAACATTTCTTTTGAGGGAGCAGAATTGAAACACTCTTTTTGTGGAATCTGCAAGTGGATATTTGGCTGGCTTTGACGATTTCGTTGGAAACGGAAATACATATAAAAAGCAGACAGCAGCGTTCTGAGAAACTTCTTGGTGATGTTTGCATTCAAGTCACGGAATGGAACGTTCCCTTTCATAGAACAGGTTTGAAACACTCCTTTTGTCGTATCTGGAAGTGTCCATTTGGAGCGCATTAAGGCTTGTGTTGAAAAAGGAAATATCTTCCTATAAAATACAGACAAAAGCATTCTCAGCAACTTGTTTGTGATGTGTGCCCTCTACTAACAGAGTTGAACCTTTCTTTTCATAGAGCAGTTTTGAAACACTCTTTTTGTAGAATCTGCAGGAGGATATTTGCATAGTTTGAGGATTTCGTTGGAAACGGGATTGTCTTCAGATAAAATCCAGACAGAAGCATTCTCAGAACCTTCTTTGGGATGTTTCCATTCAAGTCACAGAGGAGAACATGCCCTTTCGTAGAGAAGGTTTGAAACACTCTTTTTGTAGTATCTGGAAGTGGACATTTGGAGCGGTTTCAGGCCTATGTTGAAAAAGGAAATATCTTCCCGTAACAACTGGACAGAAGCATTATCAGAAGCTAGTCTCTCATGTGTGTCCTCAACTAACAGAGTTGAACATTTCTTTAGACAGAACAGTTTTGAAACACTCTTTTTGTGGAGTCTGCAAGTGGATATTTGGCTAGATTTTTAGGATTTCGTTGGAAACCGGATTACGTATAAAAAGCCGACAGCAGCATTCTCAGAAACTTCTTTGTGATGCTTGCATTCAAGTCACAGAATTGAACATTCCCTTTCACAGAGCAGGTTTGAAACACTCTTTTTGTAGTGTCTGTAAGTGGACCTTTGGAGCGCTTTCCGGCCTAAGGTGAAAAAGGACATATCTTCCCATAAAAACTAGACAGAAGCATTCTCAGAAACTTACTCGTGATGTGTGTCCTCAACTAAAGGGGTAGAACCTTTCTTTTGATAGAGCAGTTTTGAAACACTCTTTTTGTAGAATCTGCAAGTGGATATTTCGATAGCTTTGTGGATTTCGTTGGAAACGGGAATATCTTCATATAAAATCTAGAGAGAAGAATTCTCAGAAACTTCCTTGTGATGGTTGCATTCAAGTCACGGGGTTGAACATTCACTTTCATAGAGCAGGTTGGAAACACTCTTTTTCCATTCCCTGGAAGTGGACATTTGGAGCGCTTCGAGGCCTATGGTGAAAAAGGAAATATCTTCCCATCAAAACTAGACAGAAGCATTCTCAGAAACTTATTTGTGATGTGTGTCCTCAACTGACAGAGTTGAACATTTCTTTTGAGAGAGCAGTTTTGAAACACTCTTTTTGTGGAATCTGCAAGTGGATATTTGGCTGGCTTTGACGACTTTGTTGGACACGGGAATACATATAAAAAGCAGACAGCAGCGTTCTGAGAAACTTCTTGGTGATGTTTGCATTCAAGTCACAGAATTGAACATTCCCTTTGATAGAACAGGGTTGAAACACTCCTTTTCTCATATCTGGAAGTGTCCATTTGGAGCGCATTCAGGCTTGTGTTGAAAAAGGAAATATCTTCCCATAACAACTAGACAGAAGCATTCTCAGAAACTAGTTTCTGATGTGTGTCCTCAACTAACACAGTTGAACATTTCTTTAGACAGAACAGTTTTGAAACACTCTTTTTGTGGAATCTGCAAGTGGATATTTGGCTAGATTTGAGCATTTCGTTGGAAACGGGATTACATATAAAAAGCACACAGCAGCGTTCTGAGAAACATCTTAGTGATGTTTGTATTCAGGACACAGAGTTGAACGTTCCCTATCATAGAGCAGGTTTGAATCACTCCTTTTGTAGTATCTGGAAGTGGACATTTGGAGCGCTTTCCGGCCTCAGGTGAAAAAGGAAATATCTTCCCATAAAAACTAGACAGAAGCATTCTCAGAAACTTACTCGTGATGTGTGTCCTCAACTAAAGGGGTAGAACCTTTCTTTTGATAGAGCAGTTTTGAAACACTCTTTTTGTAGAATCTGCAAGTGGATATTTCGATAGCTTTGTGGATTTCGTTGGAAACGGGAATATCTTCATATAAAATCTAGAGAGAAGTATTATCAGAAACTTCCTTGTGATGGTTGCATTCAAGTCACAGAGTTGAACATTCGCTTTCATAGAGCATGTTTGAAACACTCTTTTTCCATTACCTGGAAGTGGACATTTGGAGCGCTTTGAGGCCTATGGTGAAAAAAGAAATATCTTCTCAAAAAAACTACACAGAAGCATTCTCAGAAACTTATTTGTGATGTGTGTCCTCAACTGACAGAGTTGAACATTTCTTTTGAGAGAGGAGTTTTGAAACACTCTTTTTGTGGAATCTGCAAGTGGATATTTGGCTGGCTTTGAGGATTTCGTTGGAAACGGGAATACATATAAAAAGCAGACAGCAGCGTTCTGAGAAACTTCTTGGTGATGTTTGCATTCAAGTCACAGAATGGAACGTTCCCTTTCATAGAACAGGTTTGAAACTCCCCTTTTGTCGTATCTGGAAGTGTCCATTTGTAGCGCATTCTGGCTTGTGTTGAAAAAGGAAATATCTTCCCATAAAAACTAGACAGAAGCATTCTCAGAAACTAGTTTCTGATGTGTGTCCTCAACTAACACAGTTGAACATTTCTTTAGACAGAACAGTTTTGAAACACTCTTTTTGTGGAATCTGCAAGTGGATATTTGGCTAGATTTGAGCATTTCGTTGGAAACGGGATTACATATAAAAAGCACACAGCAGCATTCTCAGCAACTTCTTTGTGATGTTTGCATTCAAGTCACAGAATTGAACATTCCCTTTCACAGAGCAGGTTTGAAACACTCTTTTTGTAGTGTCTGTAACTGGACTTTTGGAGCGCTTTCCGGCCTAAGGTGAAAAAGGACATATCTTCCCATAAAAACTAGACAGAAGCATTGTCAGAAACTTACTCGTGATGTGTGTCCTCAACTGACGGAGTAGAACCTTTCTTTTGATAGAGCAGTTTTGAAACACTCTTTTTGTAGAATCTCCAAGTGGATATTTGGATAGCTTTGAGGATTTCGTTGGAAACGGGAATATCTTCATATAAAACCTAGACAGAAGCATTCTCAGAAACTTTCCTTGTGATGGTTGCATTCAAGTCACGGAGTTGAACATTGGCTTTCATAGAGCAGGTTGGAAACACTCTTTTTCCATTCCCTGGAAGTGGACATTTGGAGCGCTTTGAGGCCTATGGTGAAAAAGGAAATATCTTCCCATAAAAACTAGACAGAAGCATTCTCAGAAACTTCTTTGTGATGTGTGTCCTCAACTGACAGAGTTGAACATGTCTTTTGAGAGAGCAGTTTTGAAACACTCTTTCTGTGGAACCTGCAAGTGGATATTTGGCTGGCTTTGACGATTTCGTTGGAAACGGGAATACATATAAAAAGCAGACAGCAGCGTTCTGAGAAACTACTTGGTGATGTTTGCATTCAAGTCACAGAATGGAACGTTCCCTTTCACAGAACAGGTTTGAAACACTCCTTTTGTCGTATCTGGAAGTGTCCATTTGGAGCGCATTCAGGCTTGTGTTGGAAAAGGAAATATCTTCCCATAAAAACCAGACAGAAGCCTTCTCGGCAACTTGTTTGTGATGTGTGCCCTCTACTAACAGAGTCGAACCTTTCTATTCATAGAGCAGTTTTGAAACACTCTTTCTGTAGAATCTGCAGGAGCATATTTGCATATCTTTGAGGATTTCGTTGGAAACGGGATTGTCTTCAGATAAAATCCAGACAGAAGCATTCTCAGAAACTTCTTTGGGATGTTTGCATTGACGTCACTGAGGAGAACATGCCCTTTCGTAGAGAAGGTTTGAAACACTCTCTTTGCAGTATCTGGAAGTGGACATTTGAAGCGGTTTCAGGCCTATGTTGAAAAAGGAAATATCTTCCCGTAACAACTGGACAGAAGCATTCTCAGAAGCTAGTCTCTGATGTGTGTCCTCAACTAACAGAGTTGAACATTTCTTTGGAGAGTATAGTTTTGAAACACTCTTTTTGTGGAGTCTGCAAGTGGATATTTGGCTGGATTTGAGGATTTCGTTGGAAACGGGATAAGGTATAAAAAGCAGACAGCAGCATTCTCAGCAATTTCTCTGTGATGTTTGCATTCAAGTCACAGAATTGAACATTCCCTTTCACAGAGCAGGTTTGAAACACTCTTTTTGTAGTGTCTGTAACTGGACTTTTGGAGCGCTTTCCGGCCTAAGGTGAAAAAGGACATATCTTCCCATAAAAACTAGACAGAAGCATTGTCAGAAACTTACTCGTGATGTGTGTCCTCAACTGACGGAGTAGAACCTTTCTTTTGATAGAGCAGTTTTGAAACACTCTTTTTGTAGAATCTCCAAGTGGATATTTGGATAGCTTTGAGGATTTCGTTGGAAACGGGAATATCTTCATATAAAACCTAGACAGAAGCATTCTCAGAAACTTCCTTGTGATGGTTGCATTCAAGTCACGGAGTTGAACATTGGCTTTCATAGAGCAGGTTGGAAACACTCTTTTTCCATTCCCTGGAAGTGGACATTTGGAGCGCTTTGAGGCCTATGGTGAAAAAGGAAATATCTTCCCATAAAAACTAGACAGAAGCATTCTCAGAAACTTCATTGTGATGTGTGTCCTCAACTGACAGAGTTGAACATGTCTTTTGAGAGAGCAGTTTTGAAACACTCTTTCTGTGGAACCTGCAAGTGGATATTTGGCTGGCTTTGACGATTTCGTTGGAAACGGGAATACATATAAAAAGCAGACAGCAGCGTTCTGAGAAACTTCTTGGTGATGTTTGCATTCAAGTCACTGAATGGAAAGTTCCCTTTCATAGAACAGGTTTGAAACTCTCCTTTTGTCGTAACTGGAAGTGTCCATTTCGAGCGCATTCAGGCTTGTGTTGAAAAAGGAAATATCTTCCCATAAAAACTAGACAGAAGCATTCTCAGCAACTTGTTTGTGATGTGTGCCCTCTACTAACAGAGTTGAACCTTTCTTTTCATAGAGCAGTTTTGAAACACTCTTTTTGTAGAATCTGCAGGAGGATATTTGCATAGCTTTGAGGATTTCGTTGGAAATGGGATTGTCTTCAGATAAAATCCAGACAGAAGCATTCTCAGAAACTTCGCTGGGATGTTTGCATACAAGTCACAGAGGAGAACATGCCCTTTCGTAGAGAAGGCTTGAAACATACTCTTTCTAGTATCTGGAAGTGGACATTTGGAGAAGTTTCAGGCCTAAGTTGAAAAAGGAAATATCTTCCCTTAAAAACTGGACAGAAGCATTCTCAGAAGATAGTCTCTAATGTGTGTCCTCAACTAACAGAGTTGAAGATTTGTGTAGACAGAAAAGTTTTGAAACACTCTTTTTGTGGAGTCTGCAAGTGGATATTTGGATAGCTGTGAGGATTTCATTGGAAACGGGAATATCTTCATATAAAATCTAGACAGAAGCATTCTCAGAAACTACTTTGTGATGTTTGCATTCAAGTCACAGAATTGAACATTCCCTTTCACAGAGCAGGTTTGAAACACACTTTTTGTAGTGTCTGTAAGTGGACATTTGGAGCGCTTTCCGGCCTAAGGTGAAAAAGGACATATCTTCCCATAAAAACTAGACAGAAGCATTCTCAGAAACTTACTCGTGATGTGTGTCCTCAACTAACGGAGTAGAAACTTTCTTTTGATAGAGCAGTAGTGAAACACTCTTTTTGTAGAATCTGCAAGTGTATATTTGGATAGCTTTGAGGATTTCATTGGAAACGGGAATATCTTCATATAAAATCAAGACAGAAGAATTCTCAGAAACTTCCTTGTGATGGTTGCATTCAAGTCACGGAGTTGAACATTCCCTTTCATAGAGCAGGTTGGAAACATTCTTTTAGCATTCCCTGGAAGTGGACATTTGGAGCGCTTTGAGGCCTATGGTGAAAAAGGAAATATCTTCTCTTCAAAACTAGACAGAAGCATTCTCAGAAACTTATTTGTGATGTGTGTTCTCAACTGACAGAGTTGAACATTTCTTTTGAGAGAGCAGTTTTGAAACACTCTTTTTGTGGAATCTGCAAGTGGATATTTGGCTGGCGTTGACGACTTCGTTGGAAACGGGAATACATATAAAAAGCAGACAGCAGCGTTCTGAGGAAGTTCTTGGTGATGTTTGCATTCAAGTCACAGAATGGAACGTTCCCTTTCATAGAAGAGGTTTGAAACTCTCCTTTTGTCGTATCTGGAAGTGTCCATTTGGAGCGCATTCAGGCTTGTGTTGAAAAAGGAAATATCTTCCCATAAAAACTAGACAGAAGCATTCTCAGCAACTTGTTTGTGATGTGTGCCCTCTACTAACAGAGTTGAACCTTTCTTTTCATAGAGCAGTTTTGAAACACTCTTTTTGTAGAATCTGCAGGAGGATATTTGCATAGCTTTGAGGATTTCGTTGGAAACGGGATTGTCTTCAGATAAAATCCAGACAGAAGCATTCTCAGAAACTTCGCTGGGATGTTTCCATTCAAGTCACAGAGGAGAACATGCCCTTTCGTAGAGAAGGTTTGAAACACACTTTTTGTAGTATCTGGAAGTGGACATTTGGAGCGGTTGCAGGCCTATGTTGAAAAAGGAAATATCTTCCCGTAACAACTGGACAGAAGCATTTTCAGAAGCTAGTCTATGATGTGTGTCCTCAACTAACAGAGTTGAACATTTCTTTAGACAGAAGAGTTTTGAAACACTCTTTTTGTGGAGTCTGCAAGTGGATATTTGGCTAGATTTGAGGATTTCGTTGGAAACGGGATTACGTATAAAAAGCAGACAGCAGCATTCTCAGCAACTTCTTTGTGATGTTTGCATTCAAG
Source organism: Homo sapiens (assembly GCF_000001405.40). Classification (NCBI taxonomy): domain Eukaryota; kingdom Metazoa; phylum Chordata; class Mammalia; order Primates; family Hominidae; genus Homo; species Homo sapiens. The sequence continues at coordinate 26,482,812 of NC_000020.11, forward strand.
TCACAGAATTGAACATTCCCTTTCACATAGCAGGTTTGAAACACTCTTTTTGTAGTGTCTGTAACTGGACTTTTGGAGCGCTTTCCGGCCTAAGGTGAAAAAGGACATATCTTCCCATAAAAACTAGACAGAAGCATTGTCAGAAACTTACTCGTGATGTGTGTCCTCAACTGACGGAGTAGAACCTTTCTTTTGATAGAGCAGTTTTGAAACACTCTTTTTGTAGAATCTCCAAGTGGATATTTGGATAGCTTTGAGGATTTCGTTGGAAACGGGAATATCTTCATATAAAACCTAGACAGAAGCATTCTCAGAAACTTCCTTGTGATGGTTGCATTCAAGTCACGGAGTTGAACATTGGCTTTCATAGAGCAGGTTGGAAACACTCTTTTTCCATTCCCTGGAAGTGGACATTTGGAGCGCTTTGAGGCCTATGGTGAAAAAGGAAATATCTTCCCATAAAAACTAGACAGAAGCATTCTCAGAAACTTCTTTGTGATGTGTGTCCTCAACTGACAGAGTTGAACATGTCTTTTGAGAGAGCAGTTTTGAAACACTCTTTCTGTGGAACCTGCAAGTGGATATTTGGCTGGCTTTGACGATTTCGTTGGAAACGGGAATACATATAAAAAGCAGACAGCAGCGTTCTGAGAAACTACTTGGTGATGTTTGCATTCAAGTCACAGAATGGAACGTTCCCTTTCACAGAACAGGTTTGAAACACTCCTTTTGTCGTATCTGGAAGTGTCCATTTGGAGCGCATTCAGGCTTGTGTTGGAAAAGGAAATATCTTCCCATAAAATCCAGACAGAAGCATTCTCGGCAACTTGTTTGTGATGTGTGCCCTCTACTAACAGAGTCGAACCTTTCTTTTCATAGAGCAGTTTTGAAACACTCTTTTTGTAGAATCTGCAGGAGCATATTTGCATATCTTTGAGGATTTCGTTGGAAACGGGATTGTCTTCAGATAAAATCCAGACAGAAGCATTCTCAGAAACTTCTTTGGGATGTTTGCATTGACGTCACTGAGGAGAACATGCCCCTTCGTAGAGAAGGTTTGAAACACTCTCTTTGCAGTATCTGGAAGCGGACATTTGAAGCTGTTTCAGGCCTATGTTGAAAAAGGAAATATCTTCCCGTAACAACTGGACAGAAGCATTCTCAGAAGCTAGTCTCTGATGTGTGTCCTCAACTAACAGAGTTGAACATTTCTTTGGAGAGTATAGTTTTGAAACACTCTTTTTGTGGAGTCTGCAAGTGGATATTTGGCTGGATTTGAGGATTTCGTTGAAAACGCGATAAGGTATAAAAAGCAGACAGCAGCATTCTCAGCAATTTCTTTGTGATGTTTGCATTCAAGTCACAGAATTGAACATTCCCTTTCACAGAGCAGGTTTGAAACACTCTTTTTGTAGTGTCTGTAACTGGACTTTTGGAGCGCTTTCCGGCCTAAGGTGAAAAAGGACATATCTTCCCATAAAAACTAGACAGAAGCATTGTCAGAAACTTACTCGTGATGTGTGTCCTCAACTGACGTAGTAGAACCTTTCTTTTGATAGAGCAGTTTTGAAACACTCTTTTTGTAGAATCTCCAAGTGGATATTTGGATAGCTTTGAGGATTTCGTTGGAAACGGGAATATCTTCATATAAAACCTAGACAGAAGCATTCTCAGAAACTTCCTTGTGATGGTTGCATTCAAGTCACGGAGTTGAACATTGGCATTCATAGAGCAGGTTGGAAACACTCTTTTTCCATTCCCTGGAAGTGGACATTTGGAGCGCTTTGAGGCCTATGGTGAAAAAGGAAATATCTTCCCATAAAAACTAGACAGAAGCATTCTCAGAAACTTCTTTGTGATGTGTGTCCTCAACTGACAGAGTTGAACATGTCTTTTGAGAGAGCAGTTTTGAAACACTCTTTTTGTGGAACCTGCAAGTGGATATTTGGCTGGCTTTGACGATTTCGTTGGACACGGGAATACATATAAAAAGCAGACAGCAGCGTTCTGAGAAACGTCTTGGTGATGTTTGCATTCAAGTCACAGAATTGAACATTCCCTTTGATGGAACAGGTTTGAAACACTCCTTTTCTCATATCTGGAAGTGTCCATTCGGAGCGCATTCAGGCTTGTGTTGAAAAAGGATATATCTTCCCATAACAACTAGACAGAAGCATTCTCAGAAACTAGTTTCTGATGTGTGTCCTCAACTAACACAGTTGAACATTTCTTTAGACAGAACAGTTTTGAAACACTCTTTTTGTGGAATTTGCAAGTGGATATTTGGCTAGATTTGAGCATTTCGTTGGAAACGGGATTACATATAAAAAGCAGACAGCAGCATTCTCAGAAACTTCTTTGTGATGTTTGCATTCAAGTCACAGAATTGAACATTCCCTTTCACAGATCAGGTTTGAAACCCTCTTTTTGTAGTGTCTGTAAGTGGACGTTTGGAGCGCTTTCCGGCCTAAGGTGAAAAAGGACATATCTTCCCATAAAAACTACACAGAAGCATTCTCAGAAACTTACTCGTGATGTGTGTCCTCAACTAAAGGGGTAGAACCTTTCTTTTGATAGAGCAGTTTTGAAACACTCTTTTTGTAGAATCTGCAAGTGGATACTTCGATAGCTTTGTGGATTTCGTTGGAAACGGGAATATCTTCATATAAAATCTAGAGAGAAGCATTCTCAGAAACTTCCTTGTGATGGTTGCATTAAAGTCACAGAGTTGAACATTCGGTTTCATAGAGCAGGTTGGAAACACTCTTTTTCCATTCCCTGGAAGTGGACATTTGGAGCGCTTCGAGGCCTATGGTGAAAAAGGAATTATCTTCCCATAAAAACTAGACAGAAGCATTCTCAGAAACTTATTTGTGATGTGTGTCCTCAACTAACAGAGTTGAACATTTCTTTTGAGAGAGCAGTTTTGAAACACTCTTTTTGTGGAACCTGCAAGTGGATATTTGGCTGGCTTTGACGATTTCGTTGGAAACGGGAATACATATAAAAAGCAGACAGCAGCGTTCTGAGAAACTTCTTGGTGATGTTTGCATTCAAGTCACAGAATGGAACGTTCCCTTTCATAGAACAGGTTTGAAACACTCCTTTTGTCGTATCTGCAAGTGTCCATTTAGAGCGCATTCAGGCTTGTGTTGAAAAAGGAAATATCTTCCCATAAAAACTAGACAGAAGCATTCTCAGCAACTTGTTTGTGATGTGTGCCCTCTACTAACAGAGTTGAACCTTTCTTTTCATAGACTAGTTTTGAAACACTCTTTTTGTAGAATCTGGAGGAGGATATTTGCATAGCTTTGAGGATTTCGTTGGAAACGGGATTGTCTTCAGATATAATCCAGACAGAAGCACTCTCAGAAACTTTTTTGGGATGTTTGCATTCAAGTCACAGAGGAGAACATGCCTTTTCGTAGAGAAGTTTTCAAACACTGTTTTTGTAGTATCTGAAAGTGGACATTTGGAGCGGTTTCAGGACTATGTTGAAAAAGCAAATATCTTCCCGGAACACCTGGACAGAAGCATTCTCAGAAGCTAGTCTCTGATGTGTGTCCTCAACTAACAGAGTTGAACATTTCTTTTGACAGTACAGTTTTGAAACACTCTTTTTGTGGAGTCTGCAAGTGGATATTTGGCTGGATTTGAGGATTTCGTTGGAAACGGGATAAGGTATAAAAAGCAGACAGCAGCATTCTCAGCAACTTCTTTGTGATGTTTGCATTCAAGTCACAGAATTGAACATTCCCTTTCACAGAGCAGGTTTGAAACACTCTTTTTGTAGTGTCTGTAACTGGACTTTTGGAGCGCTTTCCGGCCTAAGGTGAAAAAGGACATATCTTCCCATAAAAACTAGACAGAAGCATTGTCAGAAACTTACTCGTGATGTGTGTCCTCAACTGACGGAGTAGAACCTTTCTTTTGATAGAGCAGTTTTGAAACACTCTTTTTGTAGAATCTCCAAGTGGATATTTGGGTAGCTTTGAGGATTTCGTTGGAAACGGGAATATCTTCATATAAAACCTAGACAGAAGCATTCTCAGAAACTTCCTTGTGATGGTTGCATTCAAGTCACGGAGTTGAACATTGGCTTTCATACAGTAGGTTGGAAACACTCTTTTTCCATTCCCTGGAAGTGGACATTTGGAGCGCTTTGAGGCCTATGGTGAAAAAGGAAATATCTTCCCATAAAAACTAGACAGAAGCATTCTCAGAAACTTCTTTGTGATGTGTGTCCTCAACTGACAGAGTTGAACATGTCTTTTGAGAGAGCAGTTTTGAAACACTCTTTCTGTGGAACCTGCAAGTGGATATTTGGCGGGCTTTGACGATTTCGTTGGAAACGGGAATACATATAAAAACAGACAGCAGCGTTCTGAGAAACTACTTGGTGATGTTTGCATTCAAGTCACAGAATGGAACGTTCCCTTTCACAGAACAGGTTTGAAACACTCCTTTTGTCGTATCTCGAAGTGTCCATTTGGAGCGCATTCAGGCTTGTGTTGGAAAAGGAAATATCTTCCCATAAAAACCAGACAGAAACATTCTCGGCAACTTGTTTGTGATGTGTGCCCTCTACTAACAGAGTCGAACCTTTCTTTTCATAGAGCAGTTTTGAAACACTCTTTTTGTAGAATCTGCAGGAGCATATTTGCATATCTTTGAGGATTTCGTTGGAAACGGGATTGTCCTCAGATAAAATCCAGACAGAAGCATTCTCAGAAACTTCTTTGGGATGTTTGCATTGACGTCACTGAGGAGAACATGCCCTTTCGTAGAGAAGGTTTGAAACACTCTCTTTGCAGTATCTGGAAGTGGACATTTGAAGCGGTTTCAGGCCTATGTTGAAAAAGGAAATATCTTCCCGTAACAACTGGACAGAAGCATTCTCAGAAGCTAGTCTCTGATGTGTGTCCTCAACTAACAGAGTTGAACATTTCTTTGGAGAGTATAGTTTTGAAACACTCTTTTTGTGGAGTCTGCAAGTGGATATTTGGCTGGATTTGAGGATTTCGTTGGAAACGGGATAAGGTACAAAAAGCAGACAGCAGCATTCTCAGCAACTTCTTTGTGATCTTTGCATTCAAGTTACAGAATTGAACATTCCCTTTCACAGAGCAGGTTTGAAACACTCTTTTTGTAGTGTCTGTAACTGGACTTTTGGAGCGCTTTCCGGCCTAAGGTGAAAAAGGACATATCTTCCCATAAAAACTAGACAGAAGCATTGTCAGAAACTTACTCGTGATGTGTGTCCTCAACTGACGGAGTAGAACCTTTCTTTTGATAGAGCAGTTTTGAAACACTCTTTTTGTAGAATCTCCAAGTGGATATTTGGATAGCTTTGAGGATTTCGTTGGAAACGGGAATATCTTCATATAAAACCTAGACAGAAGCATTCTCAGAAACTTCCTTGTGATGGTTGCATTCAAGTCACGGAGTTGAACATTGGCATTCATAGAGCAGGTTGGAAACACTCTTTTTCCATTCCCTGGAAGTGGACATTTGGAGCGCTTTGAGGCCTTTGGTGAAAAAGGAAATATCTTCCCATAAAAACTAGACAGAAGCATTCTCAGAAACTTCTTTGTGATGTGTGTCCTCAACTGACAGAGTTGAACATGTCTTTTGAGAGAGCAGTTTTGAAACACTCTTTCTGTGGAGCCTGCAAGTGGATATTTGGCTGGCTTTGACGATTTCGTTGGAAACGGGAATACATATAAAAAGCAGACAGCAGCGTTCTGAGAAACTACTTGGTGATGTTTGCATTCAAGTCACAGAATGGAACGTTCCCTTTCACAGAACAGGTTTGAAACACTCCTTTTGTCGTATCTGGAAGTGTCCATTTGGAGCGCATTCAGGCTTGTGTTGGAAAAGGAAATATCTTCCCATAAAAACCAGACAGAAGCATTCTCGGCAACTTGTTTGTGATGTGTGCCCTCTACTAACAGAGTCGAACCTTTCTTTTCATAGAGCAGTTTTGAAACACTCTTTTTGTAGAATCTGCAGGAGCATATTTGCATATCTTTGAGGATTTCGTTGGAAACGGGATTGTCTTCAGATAAAATCCAGACAGAAGCATTCTCAGAAACTTCTTTGGGATGTTTGCATTGACGTCACTGAGGAGAACATGCCCCTTCGTAGAGAAGGTTTGAAACACTCTCTTTGCAGTATCTGGAAGCGGACATTTGAAGCGGTTTCAGGCCTATGTTGAAAAAGGAAATATCTTCCCGTAACAACTGGACAGAAGCATTCTCAGAAGCTAGTCTCTGATGTGTGTCCTCAACTAACAGAGTTGAACATTTCTTTGGAGAGTATAGTTTTGAAACACTCTTTTTGTGGAGTCTGCAAGTGGATATTTGGCTGGATTTGAGGATTTCGTTGGAAACGCGATAAGGTATAAAAAGCAGACAGCAGCATTCTCAGCAATTTCTTTGTGATGTTTGCATTCAAGTCACAGAATTGAACATTCCCTTTCACAGAGCAGGTTTGAAACACTCTTTTTGTAGTGTCTGTAACTGGACTTTTGGAGCGCTTTCCGGCCTAAGGTGAAAAAGGACATATCTTCCCATAAAAACTACACAGAAGCATTGTCAGAAACTTACTCGTGATGTGTGTCCTCAACTGACGGAGTAGAACCTTTCTTTTGATAGAGCAGTTTTGAAACACTCTTTTTGTAGAATCTCCAAGTGGATATTTGGATAGCTTTGAGGATTTCGTTGGAAACGGGAATATCTTCATATAAAACCTAGACAGAAGCATTCTCAGAAACTTCCTTGTGATGGTTGCATTCAAGTCACGGAGTTGAACATTGGCTTTCATAGAGCAGGTTGGAAACACTCTTTTTCCATTCCCTGGAAGTGGACATTTGGAGCGCTTTGAGGCCTATGGTGAAAAAGGAAACATCTTCCCATAAAAACTAGACAGAAGCATTCTCAGAAACTTCTTTGTGATGTGTGTCCTCAACTGACAGAGTTGAACATGTCTTTTGAGAGAGCAGTTCTGAAACACTCTTTCTGTGGAACCTGCAAGTGGATATTTGGCTGGCTTTGACGATTTCGTTGGAAACGGGAATACATATAAAAAGCAGACAGCAGCGTTCTGAGAAACTACTTGGTGATGTTTGCATTCAAGTCACAGAATGGAACGTTCCCTTTCACAGAACAGGTTTGAAACACTCCTTTTGTCGTATCTGGAAGTGTCCATTTGGAGCGCATTCAGGCTTGTGTTGGAAAAGGAAATATCTTCCCATAAAAACCAGACAGAAGCCTTCTCGGCAACTTGTTTGTGATGTGTGCCCTCTACTAACAGAGTCGAACCTTTCTATTCATAGAGCAGTTTTGAAACACTCTTTCTGTAGAATCTGCAGGAGCATATTTGCATATCTTTGAGGATTTCGTTGGAAACGGGATTGTCTTCAGATAAAATCCAGACAGAAGCATTCTCAGAAACTTCTTTGGGATGTTTGCATTGACGTCACTGAGGAGAACATACCCTTTCGTAGAGAAGGTTTGAAACACTCTCTTTGCAGTATCTGGAAGTGGACATTTGAAGCGGTTTCAGGCCTATGTTGAAAAAGGAAATATCTTCCCGTAACAACTGGACAGAAGCATTCTCAGAAGCTAGTCTCTGATGTGTGTCCTCAACTAACAGAGTTGAACATTTCTTCGGAGAGTATAGTTTTGAAACACTCTTTTTGTGGAGTCTGCAAGTGGATATTTGGCTGGATTTGAGGATTTCGTTGGAAACGGGATAAGGTATAAAAAGCAGACAGCAGCATTCTCAGCAATTTCTTTGTGATGTTTGCATTCAAGTCACAGAATTGAACATTCCCTTTCACAGAGCAGGTTTGAAACACTCTTTTTGTAGTGTCTGTAACTGGACTTTTGGAGCGCTTTCCGGCCTAAGGTGAAAAAGGACATATCTTCCCATAAAAACTAGACAGAAGCATTGTCAGAAACTTACTCGTGATGTGTGTCCTCAACTGACGGAGTAGAACCTTTCTTTTGATAGAGCAGTTTTGAAACACTCTTTTTGTAGAATCTCCAAGTGGATATTTGGATAGCTTTGAGGATTTCGTTGGAAACGGGAATATCTTCATATAAAACCTAGACAGAAGCATTCTCAGAAACTTCCTTGTGATGGTTGCATTCAAGTCACGGAGTTGAACATTGGCTTTCATAGAGCAGGTTGGAAACACTCTTTTTCCATTCCCTGGAAGTGGACATTTGGTGCGCTTTGAGGCCTATGGTGAAAAAGGAAATATCTTCCCATAAAAACTAGACAGAAGCATTCTCAGAAACTTCTTTGTGATGTGTGTCCTCAACTGACAGAGTTGAACATGTCTTTTGAGAGAGCAGTTCTGAAACACTCTTTCTGTGGAACCTGCAAGTGGATATTTGGCTGACTTTGACGATTTCGTTGGAAACGGGAATACATATAAAAAGCAGACAGCTGCGTTCTGAGAAACTACTTGGTGATGTTTGCATTCAAGTCACAGAATGGAACCGTTCCCTTTCACAGAACAGGTTTGAAACACTCCTTTTGTCGTATCTGGAAGTGTCCATTTGGAGCGCATTCAGGCTTGTGTTGGAAAAGGAAATATCTTCCCAAAAAAATCAGACAGAAGCATTCTCAGCAACTTGTTTGTGATGTGTGCCCTCTACTAACAGAGTTGAACCTTTCTTTTCATAGAGCAGTTTTGAAACACTCTTTTTGTAGAATCTGCAGGAGGATATTTGCATAGCTTTGAGGATTTCGTTGGAAACGGGATTGTCTTCAGATAAAATCCAGACAGAAGCATTCTCAGAAACTTCGCTGGGATGTTTCCATTCAACTCGCAGGGGAGAACATGCCCTTTCGTAGAGAAGGTTTGAAACACTCTTTTTGTAGTATCTGGAAGTGGACATTTGGAGCGGTTTCAGGCCTATGTTGAAAAAGGAAATATCTTCCCGTAACAACTGGACAGAAGCATTTTCAGAAGCTAGTCTATGATGTGTGTCCTCAACTAACAGAGTTGAACATTTCTTTAGACAGAAGAGTTTTGAAACACTCTTTTTGTGGAGTCTGCAAGTGGATATTTGGCTAGATTTGAGGATTTCGTTGGAAACGGGATTACGTATAAAAAGCAGACAGCAGCATTCTCAGCAACTTCTTTGTGATGTTTGCATTCAAGTCACAGAATTGAACATTCCCTTTCACATAGCAGGTTTGAAACACTCTTTTTGTAGTGTCTGTAACTGGACTTTTGGAGCGCTTTCCGGCCTAAGGTGAAAAAGGACATATCTTCCCATAAAAACTTGACAGAAGCATTGTCAGAAACTTACTCGTGATGTGTGTCCTCAACTGACGGAGTAGAACCTTTCTTTTGATAGAGCAGTTTTGAAACACTCTTTTTGTAGAATCTCCAAGTGGATATTTGGATAGCTTTGAGGATTTCGTTGGAAACGGGAATATCTTCATATAAAACCTAGACAGAAGCATTCTCAGAAACTTCCTTGTGATGGTTGCATTCAAGTCACGGAGTTGAACATTGGCTTTCATAGAGCAGGTTGGAAACACTCTTTTTCCATTCCCTGGAAGTGGACATTTGGAGCGCTTTGAGGCCTATGGTGAAAAAGGAAATATCTTCCCATAAAAACTAGACAGAAGCATTCTCAGAAACTTCTTTGTGATGTGTGTCCTCAACTGACAGAGTTGAACATGTCTTTTGAGAGAGCAGTTTTGAAACACTCTTTCTGTGGAACCTGCAAGTGGATATTTGGCGGGCTTTGACGATTTCGTTGGAAACGGGAATACATATAAAAACAGACAGCAGCGTTCTGAGAAACTACTTGGTGATGTTTGCATTCAAGTCACAGAATGGAACGTTCCCTTTCACAGAACAGGTTTGAAACACTCCTTTTGTCGTATCTCGAAGTGTCCATTTGGAGCGCATTCAGGCTTGTGTTGGAAAAGGAAATATCTTCCCATAAAAACCAGACAGAAACATTCTCGGCAACTTGTTTGTGATGTGTGCCCTCTACTAACAGAGTCGAACCTTTCTTTTCATAGAGCAGTTTTGAAACACTCTTTTTGTAGAATCTGCAGGAGCATATTTGCATATCTTTGAGGATTTCGTTGGAAACGGGATTGTCCTCAGATAAAATCCAGACAGAAGCATTCTCAGAAACTTCTTTGGGATGTTTGCATTGACGTCACTGAGGAGAACATGCCCTTTCGTAGAGAAGGTTTGAAACACTCTCTTTGCAGTATCTGGAAGTGGACATTTGAAGCGGTTTCAGGCCTATGTTGAAAAAGGAAATATCTTCCCGTAACAACTGGACAGAAGCATTCTCAGAAGCTAGTCTCTGATGTGTGTCCTCAACTAACAGAGTTGAACATTTCTTTGGAGAGTATAGTTTTGAAACACTCTTTTTGTGGAGTCTGCAAGTGGATATTTGGCTGGATTTGAGGATTTCGTTGGAAACGGGATAAGGTATAAAAAGCAGACAGCAGCATTCTCAGCAATTTCTTTGTGATGTTTGCATTCAAGTCACAGAATTGAACATTCCCTTTCACAGAGCAGGTTTGAAACACTCTTTTTGTAGTGTCTGTAACTGGACTTTTGGAGCGCTTTCCGGCCTAAGGTGAAAAAGGACATATCTTCCCATAAAAACTAGACAGAAGCATTGTCAGAAACTTACTCGTGATGTGTGTCCTCAACTGACGGAGTAGAACCTTTCTTTTGATAGAGCAGTTTTGAAACACTCTTTTTGTAGAATCTCCAAGTGGATATTTGGATAGCTTTGAGGATTTCGTTGGAAACGGGAATATCTTCATATAAAACCTAGACAGAAGCATTCTCAGAAACTTCCTTGTGATGGTTGCATTCAAGTCACGGAGTTGAACATTGGCTTTCATACAGTAGGTTGGAAACACTCTTTTTCCATTCCCTGGAAGTGGACATTTGGAGCGCTTTGAGGCCTATGGTGAAAAAGGAAATATCTTCCCATAAAAACTAGACAGAAGCATTCTCAGAAACTTCTTTGTGATGTGTGTCCTCAACTGACAGAGTTGAACATGTCTTTTGAGAGAGCAGTTTTGAAACACTCTTTCTGTGGAACCTGCAAGTGGATATTTGGCTGGCTTTGACGATTTCGTTGGAAACGGGAATACATATAAAAAGCAGACAGCAGCGTTCTGAGAAACTACTTGGTGATGTTTGCATTCAAGTCACAGAATGGAACGTTCCCTTTCACAGAACAGGTTTGAAACACTCCTTTTGTCGTATCTGGAAGTGTCCATTTGGAGCGCATTCAGGCCTGTGTTGGAAAAGGAAATATCTTCCCATAAAAACCAGACAGAAGCCTTCTCGGCAACTTGTTTGTGATGTGTGCCCTCTACTAACAGAGTCGAACCTTTCTATTCATAGAGCAGTTTTGAAACACTCCTTTTGTAGAATCTGAAGGAGCATATTTGCATATCTTTGAGGATTTCTTTGGAAACGGGATTGTCTTCAGATAAAATCCAGACAGAAGCATTCTCAGAAACTTCTTTGGGATGTTTGCATTGACGTCACAGAGGAGAACATGCCCTTTCGTAGAGAAGGTTTGAAACACTCTCTTTGCAGTATCTGGAAGTGGACATTTGAAGTGGTTTCAGGCCTATGTTGAAAAAGGAAATATCTTCCCGTAACAACTGGACAGAAGCATTCTCAGAAGCTAGTCTCTGATGTGTGTCCTCAACTAACAGAGTTGAACATTTCTTTTGACAGTACAGTTTTGAAACACTCTTTTTGTGGAGTCTGCAAGTGGATATTTGGCTGGATTTGAGGATTTCGTTGGAAACGGGATAAGGTATAAAAAGCAGACAGCAGCATTCTCAGCAACTTCTTTGTGATCTTTGCATTCAAGTTACAGAATTGAACATTCCCTTTCACAGAGCAGGTTTGAAACACTCTTTTTGTAGTGTCTGTAACTGGACTTTTGGAGCGCTTTCCGGCCTAAGGTGAAAAAGGACATATCTTCCCATAAAAACTAGACAGAAGCATTCTCAGAAGTTTATTTGTGATGTGTGCCCTCAACTAACAGAGTTGAACCTTTCTTTTGATAGAGCAGTTTTGAAACACTCTTTTTGTAAAATCTGCAAGAGGATATTTGGATAGCTTTGAGGATTTCGTTGGAAACGGGAATATCTTCATATAAAACCTAGACAGAAGCATTCTCAGAAACTTCCTTGTGATGGTTGCATTCAAGTCACGGAGTTGAACATTCGCTTTCATAGAGCAGGTTGGAAACACTCTTTTTCCATTCCCTGGAAGTGGACATTTGGAGCGCTTTTTAGGCCTATGGTGAAAAAGGAAATATCTTCCCATCAAAACTAGATAGAAGCATTCTCAGAAACTTATTTGTGATGTGTGTCCTCAAATGACAGAGTTGAACATTTGTTTTGAGAGAGCAGTTTTGAAACACTCTTTTTATGGAATCTGCAAGCGGATATATGGCTGGCTTTGACGATTTAGTTGGAAACGGGAATACATATAAAAAATAGACAGCAGCGTTCTGAGAAACTTCTTGGTGATGTTTGCATTCAAGTCACAGAATGGAACGTTCTCTTTCATAGAACAGGTTTGAAAAACTCCTTTTGTCGTATGTGGAAGTGTCCCTTTGGAGTGCATTCAGGCTTGTGTTGAAAAAGGAAATATCTTCCCATAAAAACTAGACAGAAGCATTCTCGGCAACTTGTTTGTGATGTGTGTCCTCTACTAACAGAGTCGAACCTTTCTTTTCATAGAGCAGTTTTGAAACACTCTTTTTGTAGAATCTGCAGGAGCATATTTGCATATCTTTGAGGATTTCGTTGGAAACGGGATTGTCTTCAGATAAAATCCAGACAGAAGCATTCTAAGAAACTTCTTTGGGATGTTTGCATTGACGTCACTGAGGAGAACATGCCCTTTCGTAGAGAAGGTTTGAAACACTCTCTTTGCAGTATCAGGAAGTGGACATTTGAAGCGGTTTCAGGCCTATGTTGAAAAAGGAAATATCTTCCCGTAACAACTGGACAGAAGCATTCTCAGAAGCTAGTCTCTGATGTGTGTCCTCAACTAACAGAGTTGAACATTTCTTTGGAGAGTATAGTTTTGAAACACTCTTTTTGTGGAGTCTGCAAGTGGATATTTGGCTGGATTTGAGGATTTCGTTGGAAACGCGATAAGGTATAAAAAGCAGACAGCAGCATTCTCAGCAACTTCTTTGTGATGTTTGCATTCAAGTCACAGAATTGAACATTCCCTTTCACATAGCAGGTTTGAAACACTCTTTTTGTAGTGTCTGTAACTGGACTTTTGGAGCGCTTTCCGGCCTAAGGTGAAAAAGGACATATCTTCCCATAAAAACTAGACAGAAGCATTGTCAGAAACTTACTCGTGATGTGTGTCCTCAACTGACGGAGTAGAACCTTTCTTTTGATAGAGCAGTTTTGAAACACTCTTTTTGTAGAATCTCCAAGTGGATATTTGGATAGCTTTGAGGATTTCGTTGGAAACGGGAATATCTTCATATAAAACCTAGACAGAAGCATTCTCAGAAACTTCCTTGTGATGGTTGCATTCAAGTCACGGAGTTGAACATTGGCTTTCATACAGTAGGTTGGAAACACTCTTTTTCCATTCCCTGGAAGTGGACATTTGGAGCGCTTTGAGGACTATGGTGAAAAAGGAAATATCTTCCCATAAAAACTAGACAGAAGCATTCTCAGAAACTTCTTTGTGATGTGTGTCCTCAACTGACAGAGTTGAACATGTCTTTTGAGAGAGCAGTTTTGAAACACTCTTTCTGTGGAACCTGCAAGTGGATATTTGGCTGGCTTTGACGATTTCGTTGGAAACGGGAATACATATAAAAAGCAGACAGCAGCGTTCTGAGAAACTACTTGGTGATGTTTGCATTCAAGTCACAGAATGGAACGTTCCCTTTCACAGAACAGGTTTGAAACACTCCTTTTGTCGTATCTGGAAGTGTCCATTTGGAGCGCATTCAGGCTTGTGTTGGAAAAGGAAATATCTTCCCATAAAAACCAGACAGAAGCATTCTCGGCAACTTGTTTGTGATGTGTGCCCTCTACTAACAGAGTCGAACTTTTCTTTTCATAGAGCAGTTTTGAAACACTCTTTTTGTAGAATCTGCAGGAGCATATTTGCATATCTTTGAGGATTTCGTTGGAAACGGGATTGTCTTCAGATAAAATCCAGACAGAAGCATTCTCAGAAACTTCTTTGGGATGTTTGCATTGACGTCACTGAGGAGAACATGCCCCTTCGTAGAGAAGGTTTGAAACACTCTCTTTGCAGTATCTGGAAGCGGACATTTGAAGCTGTTTCAGGCCTATGTTGAAAAAGGAAATATCTTCCCGTAACAACTGGACAGAAGCATTCTCAGAAGCTAGTCTCTGATGTGTGTCCTCAACTAACAGAGTTGAACATTTCTTTGGAGAGTATAGTTTTGAAACACTCTTTTTGTGGAGTCTGCAAGTGGATATTTGGCTGGATTTGAGGATTTCGTTGGAAACGCGATAAGGTATAAAAAGCAGACAGCAGCATTCTCAGCAATTTCTTTGTGATGTTTGCATTCAAGTCACAGAATTGAACATTCCCTTTCACAGAGCAGGTTTGAAACACTCTTTTTGTAGTGTCTGTAACTGGACTTTTGGAGCGCTTTCCGGCCTAAGGTGAAAAAGGACATATCTTCCCATAAAAACTAGACAGAAGCATTGTCAGAAACTTACTCGTGATGTGTGTCCTCAACTGACGGAATAGAACCTTTCTTTTGATAGAGCAGTTTTGAAACACTCTTTTTGTAGAATCTCCAAGTGGATATTTGGATAGCTTTGAGGATTTCGTTGGAAACGGGAATATCTTCATATAAAACCTAGACAGAAGCATTCTCAGAAACTTCCTTGTGATGGTTGCATTCAAGTCACGGAGTTGAACATTGGCTTTCATAGAGCAGGTTGGAAACACTCTTTTTCCATTCCCTGGAAGTGGACATTTGGAGCGCTTTGAGGCCTATGGTGAAAAAGGAAATATCTTCCCATAAAAACTAGACAGAAGCATTCTCAGAAACTTCTTTGTGATGTGTGTCCTCAACTGACAGAGTTGAACATGTCTTTTGAGAAAGCAGTTTTGAAACAATCTTTCTGTGGAACCTGCAAGTGGATATTTGGCTGGCTTTGACGATTTCGTTGGAAACGGGAATACATATAAAAAGCAGACAGCAGCGTTCTGAGAAACTACTTGGTGATGTTTGCATTCAAGTCACAGAATGGAACGTTCCCTTTCACAGAACAGGTTTGAAACACTCCTTTTGTCGTATCTCGAAGTGTCCGTTTGGAGCGCATTCAGGCTTGTGTTGGAAAAGGAAATATCTTCCCATAAAAATCAGACAGAAGCCTTCTCGGCAACTTGTTTGTGATGTGTGCCCTCTACTAACAGAGTCGAACCTTTCTATTCATAGAGCAGTTTTGAAACACTCCTTTTGTAGAATCTGAAGGAGCATATTTGCATATCTTTGAGGATTTCTTTGGAAACGGGATTGTCTTCAGATAAAATCCAGACAGAAGCATTCTCAGAAACTTCTTTGGGATGTTTGCATTGACGTCACAGAGGAGAACATGCCCTTTCGTAGAGAAGGTTTGAAACACTCTCTTTGCAGTATCTGGAAGTGGACATTTGAAGTGGTTTCAGGCCTATGTTGAAAAAGGAAATATCTTCCCGTAACAACTGGACAGAAGCATTCTCAGAAGCTAGTCTCTGATGTGTGTCCTCAACTAACAGAGTTGAACATTTCTTTTGACAGTACAGTTTTGAAACACTCTTTTTGTGGAGTCTGCAAGTGGATATTTGGCTGGATTTGAGGATTTCGTTGGAAACGGGATAAGGTATAAAAAGCAGACAGCAGCATTCTCAGCAACTTCTTTGTGATGTTTGCATTCAAGTCACAGAATTGAACATTCCCTTTCACAGAGCAGGTTTGAAACACTCTTTTTGTAGTGTCTGTAACTGGACTTTTGGAGCGCTTTCCGGCCTAAGGTGAAAAAGGACATATCTTCCCATAAAAACTAGACAGAAGCATTGTCAGAAACTTACTCGTGATGTGTGTCCTCAACTGACGGAGTAGAACCTTTCTTTTGATAGAGCAGTTTTGAAACACTCTTTTTGTAGAATCTCCAAGTGGATATTTGGATAGCTTTGAGGATTTCGTTGGAAACGGGAATATCTTCATATAAAACCTAGACAGAAGCATTCTCAGAAACTTCCTTGTGATGGTTGCGTTCAAGTCACGGAGTTGAACATTGGCTTTCATAGAGCAGGTTGGAAACACTCTTTTTCCATTCCCTGGAAGTGGACATTTGGAGCGCTTTGAGGCCTATGGTGAAAAAGGAAATATCTTCCCATAAAAACTAGACAGAAGCATTCTCAGAAACTTCTTTGTGATGTGTGTCCTCAACTGACAGAGTTGAACATGTCTTTTGAGAGAGCAGTTCTGAAACACTCTTTCTGTGGAACCTGCAAGTGGATATTTGGCTGGCTTTGACGATTTCGTTGGAAACGGGAATACATATAAAAAGCAGACAGCAGCGTTCTGAGAAACTACTTGGTGATGTTTGCATTCAAGTCACAGAATGGAACGTTCCCTTTCACAGAACAGGTTTGAAACACTCCTTTTGTCGTATCTGGAAGTGTCCATTTGGAGCGCATTCAGGCTTGTGTTGGAAAAGGAAATATCTTCCCATAAAAACCAGACAGAAGCCTTCTCGGCAACTTGTTTGTGATGTGTGCCCTCTACTAACAGAGTCGAACCTTTCTATTCATAGAGCAGTTTTGAAACACTCTTTTTGTAGAATCTGCAGGAGCATATTTGCATAGCTTTGAGGATTTCGTTGGAAACGGGATTGTCTTCAGATAAAATCCAGACAGAAGCATTCTCAGAAACTTCTTTGGGATGTTTGCATTGACGTCACTGAGGAGAACATGCCCTTTCGTAGAGAAGGTTTGAAACACTCTCTTTGCAGTATCTGGAAGTGGACATTTGAAGCGGTTTCAGGCCTATGTTGAAAAAGGAAATATCTTCCCGTAACAACTGGACAGAAGCATTCTCAGAAGCTAGTCTCTGATGTGTGTCCTCAACTAACAGAGTTGAACATTTCTTTGGAGAGTATAGTTTTGAAACACTCTTTTTGTGGAGTCTGCAAGTGGATATTTGGCTGGATTTGAGGATTTCGTTGGAAACGGGATAAGGTATAAAAAGCAGACAGCAGCATTCTCAGCAATTTCTTTGTGATGTTTGCATTCAAGTCACAGAATTTAACATTCCCTTTCACAGAGCAGGTTTGAAACACTCTTTTTGTAGTGTCTGTAACTGGACTTTTGGAGCGCTTTCCGGCCTAAGGTGAAAAAGGACATATCTTCCCATAAAAACTAGACAGAAGCATTGTCAGAAACTTACTCGTGATGTGTGTCCTCAACTGACGGAGTAGAACCTTTCTTTTGATAGAGCAGTTTTGAAACACTCTTTTTGTAGAATCTCCAAGTGGATATTTGGATAGCTTTGAGGATTTCGTTGGAAACGGGAATATCTTCATATAAAACCTAGACAGAAGCATTCTCAGAAACTTCCTTGTGATGGTTGCATTCAAGTCACGGAGTTGAACATTGGCTTTCATACAGTAGGTTGGAAACACTCTTTTTCCATTCCCTGGAAGTGGACATTTGGAGCGCTTTGAGGACTATGGTGAAAAAGGAAATATCTTCCCATAAAAACTAGACAGAAGCATTCTCAGAAACTTCTTTGTGATGTGTGTCCTCAACTGACAGAGTTGAACATGTCTTTTGAGAGAGCAGTTTTGAAACACTCTTTCTGTGGAACCTGCAAGTGGATATTTGGCTGGCTTTGACGATTTCGTTGGAAACGGGAATACATATAAAAAGCAGACAGCAGCGTCTGAGAAACTACTTGGTGATGTTTGCATTCAAGTCACAGAATGGAACGTTCCCTTTCCCAGAAAAGGTTTGAAACACTCCTTTAGTCGTATCTGGAAGTGTCCATTTGGAGCGCATTCAGGCTTGTGTTGGAAAAGGAAATATCTTCCCATAAAAACCAGACAGAAGCATTCTCGGCAACTTGTTTGTGATGTGTGCCCTCTACTAACAGAGTCGAACCTTTCTATTCATAGAGCAGTTTTGAAACACTCTTTTTGTAGAATCTGCAGGAGCATATTTGTATATCTTTGAGGATTTGGTTGGAAACGGGATTGTCTTCAGATAAAATCCAGACAGAAGCATTCTCAGAAAGTTCTTTGGGATGTTTGCATTGACGTCACAGAGGAGAACATGCCCTTTCGTAGAGAAGGTTTGAAACACTCTCTTTGCAGTATCTGGAAGTGGACATTTGAAGCGGTTTCAGGCCTATGTTGAAAAAGGAAATATCTTCCCGTAACAACTGGACAGAAGCATTCTCAGAAGCTAGTCTCTGATGTGTGTCCTCAACTAACAGAGTTGAACATTTCTTTGGAGAGTATAGTTTTGAAACACTCTCTTTATGGAGTCTGCAAGTGGATATTTGGCTGGATTTGAGGATTTCGTTGGAAACGCGATAAGGTATAAAAAGCAGACAGCAGCATTCTCAGCAACTTCTTTGTGATGTTTGCATTCAAGTCACAGAATTGAACATTCCCTTTCACAGAGCAGGTTTATAACACTCTTTTTGTAGTGTCTGTAACTGGACTTTTGGAGCGCTTTCCGGCCTAAGGTGAAAAAGGACATATCTTCCCATAAAAACTAGACAGAAGCATTGTCAGAAACTTACTCGTGATGTGTGTCCTCAACTGACGGAGTAGAACCTTTCTTTTGATAGAGCAGTTTTGAAACACTCTTTTTGTAGAATCTCCAAGTGGATATTTGGATAGCTTTGAGGATTTCGTTGGAAACGGGAATATCTTCATATAAAACCTAGACAGAAGCATTCTCAGAAACTTCCTTGTGATGGTTGCATTCAAGTCACGGAGTTGAACATTGGCTTTCATAGAGCAGGTTGGAAACACTCTTTTTCCATTCCCTGGAAGTGGACATTTGGAGCGCTTTGAGGCCTATGGTGAAAAAGGAAATATCTTCCCATAAAAACTAGACAGAAGCATTCTCAGAAACTTCTTTGTGATGTGTGTCCTCAACTGACAGAGTTGAACATGTCTTTTGAGAGAGCAGTTTTGAAACACTCTTTCTGTGGAACCTGCAAGTGGATATTTGGCGGGCTTTGACGATTTCGTTGGAAACGGGAATACATATAAAAACAGACAGCAGCGTTCTGAGAAACTACTTGGTGATGTTTGCATTCAAGTCACAGAATGGAACGTTCCCTTTCACAGAACAGGTTTGAAACACTCCTTTTGTCGTATCTCGAAGTGTCCATTTGGAGCGCATTCAGGCTTGTGTTGGAAAAGGAAATATCTTCCCATAAAAACCAGACAGAAAGCATTCTCGGCAACTTGTTTGTGATGTGTGCCCTCTACTAACAGAGTCGAACTTTTCTTTTCATAGAGCAGTTTTGAAACACTCTTTTTGTAGAATCTGCAGGAGCATATTTGCATATCTTTGAGGATTTCGTTGGAAACGGGATTGTCTTCAGATAAAATCCAGACAGAAGCATTCTCAGAAAGTTCTTTGGGATGTTTGCATTGACGTCACAGAGGAGAACATGCCCTTTCGTAGAGAAGGTTTGAAACACTCTCTTTGCAGTATCTGGAAGTGGACATTTGAAGCGGTTTCAGGCCTATGTTGAAAAAGGAAATATCTTCCCGTAACAACTGGACAGAAGCATTCTCAGAAGCTAGTCTCTGATGTGTGTCCTCAACTAACAGAGTTGAACATTTCTTTGGAGAGTATAGTTTTGAAAAACTCTTTTTGTGGAGTGTGCAAGTGGATATTTGGCTGGATTTGAGGATTTCGTTGGAAACGGGATAAGGTATAAAAAGCAGACAGCAGCATTCTCAGCAATTTCTTTGTGATGTTTGCATTCAAGTCACAGAATTGAACATTCCCTTTCACAGAGCAGGTTTGAAACACTCTTTTTGTAGTGTCTGTAACTGGACTTTTGGAGCGCTTTCCGGCCTAAGGTGAAAAAGGACATATCTTCCCATAAAAACTACACAGAAGCATTGTCAGAAACTTACTCGTGATGTGTGTCCTCAACTGACGGAGTAGAACCTTTCTTTTGATAGAGCAGTTTTGAAACACTCTTTTTGTAGAATCTCCAAGTGGATATTTGGATAGCTTTGAGGATTTCGTTGGAAACGGGAATATCTTCATATAAAACCTAGACAGAAGCATTCTCAGAAACTTCCTTGTGATGGTTGCATTCAAGTCACGGAGTTGAACATTGGCTTTCATAGAGCAGGTTGGAAACACTCTTTTTCCATTCCCTGGAAGTGGACATTTGGTGCGCATTGAGGCCTATGGTGAAAAAGGAAATATCTTCCCATAAAAACTAGACAGAAGCATTCTCAGAAACTTCTTTGTGATGTGTGTCCTCAACTGACAGAGTTGAACATGTCTTTTGAGAGAGCAGTTCTGAAACACTCTTTCTGTGGAACCTGCAAGTGGATATTTGGCTGGCTTTGACGATTTCGTTGGAAACGGGAATACATATAAAAAGCAGACAGCAGCGTTCTGAGAAACTACTTGGTGATGTTTGCATTCAAGTCACAGAATGGAACGTTCCCTTTCACAGAACAGGTTTGAAACACTCCTTTTGTCGTATCTGGAAGTGTCCATTTGGAGCGCATTCAGGCTTGTGTTGGAAAAGGAAATATCTTCCCATAAAAACCAGACAGAAGCCTTCTCGGCAACTTGTTTGTGATGTGTGCCCTCTACTAACAGAGTCGAACCTTTCTATTCATAGAGCAGTTTTGAAACACTCTTTTTGTAGAATCTGCAGGAGCATATTTGCATATCTTTGAGGATTTCGTTGGAAACGGGATTGTCTTCAGATAAAATCCAGACAGAAGCATTCTCAGAAACTTCTTTGGGATGTTTGCATTGACGTCACAGAGGAGAACATGCCCTTTCGTAGAGAAGGTTTGAAACACTCTCTTTGCAGTATCTGGAAGTGGACATTTGAAGTGGTTTCAGGCCTATGTTGAAAAAGGAAATATCTTCCCGTAACAACTGGACAGAAGCATTCTCAGAAGCTAGTCTCTGATGTGTGTCCTCAACTAACAGAGTTGAACATTTCTTTTGACAGTACAGTTTTGAAACACTCTTTTTGTGGAGTCTGCAAGTGGATATTTGGCTGGATTTGAGGATTTCGTTGGAAACGGGATAAGGTATAAAAAGCAGACAGCAGCATTCTCAGCAACTTCTTTGTGATGTTTGCATTCAAGTCACAGAATTGAACATTCCCTTTCACAGAGCAGGTTTGAAACACTCTTTTTGTAGTGTCTGTAACTGGACTTTTGGAGCGCTTTCCGGCCTAAGGTGAAAAAGGACATATCTTCCCATAAAAACTAGACAGAAGCATTGTCAGAAACTTACTCGTGATGTGTGTCCTCAACTGACGGAGTAGAACCTTTCTTTTGATAGAGCAGTTTTGAAACACTCTTTTTGTAGAATCTCCAAGTGGATATTTGGGTAGCTTTGAGGATTTCGTTGGAAACGGGAATATCTTCATATAAAACCTAGACAGAAGCATTCTCAGAAACTTCCTTGTGATGGTTGCATTCAAGTCACGGAGTTGAACATTGGCTTTCATACAGTAGGTTGGAAACACTCTTTTTCCATTCCCTGGAAGTGGACATTTGGAGCGCTTTGAGGCCTATGGTGAAAAAGGAAATATCTTCCCATAAAAACTAGACAGAAGCATTCTCAGAAACTTCTTTGTGATGTGTGTCCTCAACTGACAGAGTTGAACATGTCTTTTGAGAGAGCAGTTTTGAAACACTCTTTCTGTGGAACCTGCAAGTGGATATTTGGCGGGCTTTGACGATTTCGTTGGAAACGGGAATACATATAAAAACAGACAGCAGCGTTCTGAGAAACTACTTGGTGATGTTTGCATTCAAGTCACAGAATGGAACGTTCCCTTTCACAGAACAGGTTTGAAACACTCCTTTTGTCGTATCTCGAAGTGTCCATTTGGAGCGCATTCAGGCTTGTGTTGGAAAAGGAAATATCTTCCCATAAAAATCAGACAGAAGCCTTCTCGGCAACTTGTTTGTGATGTGTGCCCTCTACTAACAGAGTCGAACCTTTCTATTCATAGAGCAGTTTTGAAACACTCCTTTTGTAGAATCTGAAGGAGCATATTTGCATATCTTTGAGGATTTCTTTGGAAACGGGATTGTCTTCAGATAAAATCCAGACAGAAGCATTCTCAGAAACTTCTTTGGGATGTTTGCATTGACGTCACAGAGGAGAACATGCCCTTTCGTAGAGAAGGTTTGAAACACTCTCTTTGTAGTATCTGGAAGTGGACATTTGAAGTGGTTTCAGGCCTATGTTGAAAAAGGAAATATCTTCCCGTAACAACTGGACAGAAGCATTCTCAGAAGCTAGTCTCTGATGTGTGTCCTCAACTAACAGAGTTGAACATTTCTTTTGACAGTACAGTTTTGAAACACTCTTTTTGTGGAGTCTGCAAGTGGATATTTGGCTGGATTTGAGGATTTCGTTGGAAACGGGATAAGGTATAAAAAGCAGACAGCAGCATTCTCAGCAACTTCTTTGTGATGTTTGCATTCAAGTCACAGAATTGAACATTCCCTTTCACAGAGCAGGTTTGAAACACTCTTTTTGTAGTGTCTGTAACTGGACTTTTGGAGCGCTTTCCGGCCTAAGGTGAAAAAGGACATATCTTCCCATAAAAACTAGACAGAAGCATTGTCAGAAACTTACTCGTGATGTGTGTCCTCAACTGACGGAGTAGAACCTTTCTTTTGATAGAGCAGTTTTGAAACACTCTTTTTGTAGAATCTCCAAGTGGATATTTGGGTACCTTTGAGGATTTCGTTGGAAACGGGAATATCTTCATATAAAACCTAGACAGAAGCATTCTCAGAAACTTCCTTGTGATGGTTGCATTCAAGTCACGGAGTTGAACATTGGCTTTCATACAGTAGGTTGGAAACACTCTTTTTCCATTCCCTGGAAGTGGACATTTGGAGCGCTTTGAGGCCTATGGTGAAAAAGGAAATATCTTCCCATAAAAACTAGACAGAAGCATTCTCAGAAACTTCTTTGTGATGTGTGTCCTCAACTGACAGAGTTGAACATGTCTTTTGAGAGAGCAGTTTTGAAACACTCTTTCTGTGGAACCTGCAAGTGGATATTTGGCGGGCTTTGACGATTTCGTTGGAAACGGGAATACATATAAAAACAGACAGCAGCGTTCTGAGAAACTACTTGGTGATGTTTGCATTCAAGTCACAGAATGGAACGTTCCCTTTCACAGAACAGGTTTGAAACACTCCTTTTGTCGTATCTCGAAGTGTCCATTTGGAGCGCATTCAGGCTTGTGTTGGAAAAGGAAATATCTTCCCATAAAAATCAGACAGAAGCATTCTCGGCAACTTGTTTGTGATGTGTGCCCTCTACTAACAGAGTCGAACCTTTCTTTTCCTAGAGCAGTTTTGAAACACTCTTTTTGTAGAATCTGCAGGAGCATATTTGCATATCTTTGAGGATTTCATTGGAAACGGGATTGTCTTCAGATAAAATCCAGACAGAAGCATTCTCAGAAACTTCTTTGGGATGTTTGCATTGACGTCACAGAGGAGAACATGCCCTTTCGTAGAGAAGGTTTGAAACACTCTCTTTGCAGTATCTGGAAGTGGACACTTGAAGCGGTTTCAGGCCTATGTTGAAAAAGGAAATATCTTCCCGTAACAACTGGACAGAAGCATTCTCAGAAGCTAGTCTCTGATGTGTGTCCTCAACTAACAGAGTTGAACATTTCTTTGGAGAGTATAGTTTTGAAAAACTCTTTTTGTGGAGTGTGCAAGTGGATATTTGGCTGGATTTGAGGATTTCGTTGGAAACGGGATAAGGTATAAAAAGCAGACAGCAGCATTCTCAGCAACTTCTTTGTGATGTTTGCATTCAAGTCACAGAATTGAACATTCCCTTTCACAGAGCAGGTTTGAAACACTCTTTTTGTAGTGTCTGTAACTGGACTTTTGGAGCGCTTTCCGGCCTAAGGTGAAAAAGGACATATCTTCCCATAAAAACTAGACAGAAGCATTGTCAGAAACTTACTCGTGATGTGTGTCCTCAACTGACGGAGTAGAACCTTTCTTTTGATAGAGCAGTTTTGAAACACTCTTTTTGTAGAATCTCCAAGTGGATATTTGGGTAGCTTTGAGGATTTCGTTGGAAACGGGAATATCTTCATATAAAACCTAGACAGAAGCATTCTCAGAAACTTCCTTGTGATGGTTGCATTCAAGTCACGGAGTTGAACATTGGCTTTCATAGAGCAGGTTGGAAACACTCTTTTTCCATTCCCTGGAAGTGGACATTTGGAGCGCTTTGAGGCCTATGGTGAAAAAGGAAATATCTTCCCATAAAAACTAGACAGAAGCATTCTCAGAAACTTCTTTGTGATGTGTGTCCTCAACTGACAGAGTTGAACATGTCTTTTGAGAGAGCAGTTTTGAAACACTCTTTCTGTGGAACCTGCAAGTGGATATTTGGCGGGCTTTGACGATTTCGTTGGAAACGGGAATACATATAAAAACAGACAGCAGCGTTCTGAGAAACTACTTGGTGATGTTTGCATTCAAGTCACAGAATGGAACGTTCCCTTTCACAGAACAGGTTTGAAACACTCCTTTTGTCGTATCTGGAAGTGTCCATTTGGAGCGCATTCAGGCTTGTGTTGGAAAAGGAAATATCTTCCCATAAAAACCAGACAGAAGCCTTCTCGGCAACTTGTTTGTGATGTGTGCCCTCTACTAACAGAGTCGAACCTTTCTATTCATAGAGCAGTTTTGAAACACTCTTTTTGTAGAATCTGCAGGAGCATATTTGCATATCTTTGAGGATTTCGTTGGAAACGGGATTGTCTTCAGATAAAATCCAGACAGAAGCATTCTCAGAAACTTCTTTGGGATGTTTGCATTGACGTCACTGAGGAGAACATGCCCTTTCGTAGAGAAGGTTTGAAACACTCTCTTTGCAGTATCTGGAAGTGGACATTTGAAGCGGTTTCAGGCCTATGTTGAAAAAGGAAATATCTTCCCGTAACAACTGGACAGAAGCATTCTCAGAAGCTAGTCTCTGATGTGTGTCCTCAACTAACAGAGTTGAACATTTCTTTTGACAGTACAGTTTTGAAACACTCTTTTTGTGGAGTCTGCAAGTGGATATTTGGCTGGATTTGAGGATTTCGTTGGAAACGGGATAAGGTATAAAAAGCAGACAGCAGCATTCTCAGCAACTTCTTTGTGATGTTTGCATTCAAGTCACAGAATTGAACATTCCCTTTCACAGAGCAGGTTTGAAACACTCTTTTTGTAGTGTCTGTAACTGGACTTTTGGAGCGCTTTCCGGCCTAAGGTGAAAAAGGACATATCTTCCCATAAAAACTAGACAGAAGCATTGTCAGAAACTTACTCGTGATGTGTGTCCTCAACTGACGGAGTAGAACCTTTCTTTTGATAGAGCAGTTTTGAAACACTCTTTTTGTAGAATCTCCAAGTGGATATTTGGATAGCTTTGAGGATTTCGTTGGAAACGGGAATATCTTCATATAAAACCTAGACAGAAGCATTCCCAGAAACTTCCTTGTGATGGTTGCATTCAAGTCACGGAGTTGAACATTGGCTTTCATACAGTAGGTTGGAAACACTCTTTTTCCATTCCCTGGAAGTGGACATTTGGAGCGCTTTGAGGCCTATGGTGAAAAAGGAAATATCTTCCCATAAAAACTAGACAGAAGCATTCTCAGAAACTTCTTTGTGATGTGTGTCCTCAACTGACAGAGTTGAACATGTCTTTTGAGAGAGCAGTTTTGAAACACTCTTTCTGTGGAACCTGCAAGTGGATATTTGGCTGGCTTTGACGATTTCGTTGGAAACGGGAATACATATAAAAAGCAGACAGCAGCGTTCTGAGAAACTACTTGGTGATGTTTGCATTCAAGTCACACAATGGAACGTTGCCTTTCATAGAACAGCTTTGAAACACTCCTTTTGTCGTATCTGGAAGTGTCCATTTGGAGCGCATTCAGGCTTGTGTTGGAAAAGGAAATATCTTCCCATAAAAACCAGACAGAATCATTCTCGGCAACTTGTTTGGGATGTGTGCCCTCTACTAACAGAGTCGAACCTTTCTTTTCATAGAGCAGTTTTGAAACACTCTTTTTGTAGAATCTGCAGGAGCATATTTGCATATCTTTGAGGATTTCTTTGGAAACGGGATTGTCTTCAGATAAAATCCAGACAGAAGCATTCTCAGAAACTTCTTTGGGATGTTTGCATTGACGTCACAGAGGAGAACATGCCCTTTCGTAGAGAAGGTTTGAAACACTCTCTTTGCAGTATCTGGAAGTGGACATTTGAAGCGGTTTCAGGCCTATGTTGAAAAAGGAAATATCTTCCCGTAACAACTGGACAGAAGCATTCTCAGAAGCTAGTCTCTGATGTGTGTCCTCAACTAACAGAGTTGAACATTTCTTTGGAGAGTATAGTTTTGAAACACTCTTTTTGTGGAGTCTGCAAGTGGATATTTGGCTGGATTTGAGGATTTCGTTGGAAACGGGATAAGGTATAAAAAGCAGACAGCAGCATTCTCAGCAACTTCTTTGTGATGTTTGCATTCAAGTCACAGAATTGAACATTCCCTTTCACAGAGCAGGTTTGAAACACTCTTTTTGTAGTGTCTGTAACTGGACTTTTGGAGCGCTTTCCGGCCT
Source organism: Homo sapiens (assembly GCF_000001405.40). Classification (NCBI taxonomy): domain Eukaryota; kingdom Metazoa; phylum Chordata; class Mammalia; order Primates; family Hominidae; genus Homo; species Homo sapiens. The sequence goes on from NC_000020.11 coordinate 26,509,757, forward strand.
AAGGTGAAAAAGGACATATCTTCCCATAAAAACTAGACAGAAGCATTCTCAGAAACTTACTCGTGGTGTGTGTCCTCAACTAAAGGGGTAGAACCTTTCTTTTGATAGAGCAGTTTTGAAACACTCTTTTTGTAGAATCTGCAAGTGGATATTTCGATAGCTTTGTGGATTTCGTTGGAAACGGGAATATCTTCATATAAAATCTAGAGAGAAGCATTCTCAGAAACTTCCTTGTGATGGTTGCATTCATGTCACGGAGTTGAACATTGGCTTTCATAGAGCAGGTTGGAAACACTCTTTTTCCATTCCCTGGAAGTGGACATTTGGAGCTGCTTTGAGGCCTATGGTGAAAAAGGAAACATCTTCCCATAAAAACTAGACATTAGCATTCTCAGAAACTTATTTGTGATGTGTGTCCTCAACTGACAGAGTTGAACATTTCTTTTGAGAGAGCAGTTTTGAAACACCTTTTTGTGGAATCTGCAAGTGGATATTTGGCTGGCTTTGACGATTTCCTTGGCAACGTGAATACATATAAAAAGCAGACAGCACCGTTCTGAGAAACTTCTTGGTGATGTTTGCATTAAAGTCACAGAATGGAACGTTCCCTTTCATAGAACAGGTTTGAAACACCACTTTTGTCGTATCTGGAAGTGTCCATTTGGAGCGCATTCAGGCTTGTGTTGAAAAAGTTTATATCTTCAAATAAAAACTAGACAGAAGCATTCTCAGAAACTTGTTTGTGATGTGTGCCCTCTACTAACAGTGTTGAACCTTTCTCTTCATAGAGCAGTTTTGAAACACTCTTTTTGTAGAATCAGCAGGAGGATATTTGCATAGATTTGAAGATATCGTTGGAAACGGGATTGTGTTCAGATAAAATCCAGACAGAAGCATTCTCAGAAACTTCTTTGGGATGTTTGCATTGACGTCACTGAGGAGAACATGCCCTTTCGTAGAGAAGGTTTGAAACACTCTCTTTGCAGTATCTGGAAGTGGACATTTGAAGCTGTTTCAGGCCTATGTTGAAAAAGGAAATATCTTCCCGTAACAACTGGACAGAAGCATTCTCAGAAGCTAGTCTCTGATGTGTGTCCTCAACTAACAGAGTTGAACATTTCTTTGGAGAGTATAGTTTTGAAACACTCTTTTTGTGGAGTCTGCAAGTGGATATTTGGCTGGATTTGAGGATTTCGTTGGAAACGGGATAAGGTATAAAAAGCAGACAGCAGCATTCTCAGCAACTTCTTTGTGATGTTTGCATTCAAGTCACAGAATTGAACATTCCCTTTCACATAGCAGGTTTGAAACACTCTTTTTGTAGTGTCTGTAACTGGACTTTTGGAGCGCTTTCCGGCCTAAGGTGAAAAAGGACATATCTTCCCATAAAAACTAGACAGAAGCATTCTCAGAAACTTACTCGTGATGTGTGTCCTCAACTAACGGAATAGAACCTTTCTTTTGATAGAGCAGTTTTGAAACACTCTTTTTGTAGAATCTGCAAGTGGATATTTGGATAGCTTTGAGGATTTCGTTGGAAACGGGAACATCTTCATATAAAATCTAGACAGAAGCATTCTCAGAAACTTCCTTGTGATGGTTGCATTCAAGTCACGGAGTTGAACATTCGCTTTCATAGAGCAGGTTGGAAACACTCTTTTTCCATTCCGTGGAAGTGGACATTTGGAGCGCTTTGAGGCCTATGGTGAAAAAGGAAATATCTTCCCATCAAAACTAGACAGAAACATTCTCAGAAACTTCTTTGTGATGTGTGTCCTCAACTGACAGAGTTGAACATGTCTTTTGAGAGAGCAGTTCTGAAACACTCTTTCTGTGGAACCTGCAAGTGGATATTTGGCTGGCTTTGACGATTTCGTTGGAAACGGGAATACATATAAAAAGCAGACAGCAGCGTTCTGAGAAACTTCTTGGTGATGTTTGCATTCAAGTCACAGAATTGAACATTCCCTTTGATAGAACAGGTTTGAAACACTCCTTTTCTCATATCTGGAAGTGTCCATTCGGAGCGCATTCAGGCTTGTGTTGAAAAAGGATATATCTTCCCATAACAACTAGACAGAAGCATTCTCAGAAACTAGTTTCTGATGTGTGTCCTCAACTAACACAGTTGAACATTTCTTTAGACAGAACAGTTTTGAAACACTCTTTTTGTGGAATTTGCAAGTGGATATTTGGCTAGATTTGAGCATTTCGTTGGAAACGGGATTACATATAAAAAGCAGACAGCGGCATTCTCAGAAAGTTCTTTGTGATGATTGCATTCAAGTCACAGAATTGAACATTCCCTTTCACAGAGCAGGTTTGAAACACTCTTTTTGTAGTGTGTGAAAGTGGACATTTGGAGCGCTTTCCGGCCTAAGGTGAAAAAGGAAATATCTTCCCATAAAAACTAGACAGAGGCATTCTCAGCAACTTGTTTGTGATGTGTGTCCTCAACCAACGGAGTAGAATCTTTCTTTTGATAGAGCAGTTTTGAAACACTCTTTTTGTAGAATCTGCAAGTGGATATTTGGATAGCTTTGAGGATTTCGTTGGAAACGGGAATATCTTCATATAAAATCTAGACAGAAGCATTCTCAGAAACTTCCTTGTGATGGTTGCATTCAAGTCACGGAGTTGAACATTTGCTTTCATAGAGCAGGTTGGAAACACTCTTTTTGCATTCCCTGGAGGTGGACATTTGGAGCGCTTTGAGGCCTATGGTGAAAAAGGAAATATCTTCCCATAAAAACTAGACAGAAGCATTCTCAGAAACTTTTTTGTGATGTGTATCCTCAACTGACAGAGTTGAACATTTCTTTTGAGGGAGCAGAATTGAAACACTCTTTTTGTGGAATCTGCAAGTGGATATTTGGCTGGCTTTGACGATTTCGTTGGAAACGGAAATACATATAAAAAGCAGACAGCAGCGTTCTGAGAAACTTCTTGGTGATGTTTGCATTCAAGTCACGGAATGGAACGTTCCCTTTCATAGAACAGGTTTGAAACACTCCTTTTGTCGTATCTGGAAGTGTCCATTTGGAGCGCATTAAGGCTTGTGTTGAAAAAGGAAATATCTTCCTATAAAATACAGACAAAAGCATTCTCGGCAACTTGTTTGTGATGTGTGCCCTCTACTAACAGAGTCGAACTTTTCTTTTCATAGAGCAGTTTTGAAACACTCTTTTTGTAGAATCTGCAGGAGCATATTTGCATATCTTTGAGGATTTCGTTGGAAACGGGATTGTCTTCAGATAAAATCCAGACAGAAGCATTCTCAGAAACTTCTTTGGGATGTTTGCATTGACGTCACTGAGGAGAACATGCCCCTTCGTAGAGAAGGTTTGAAACACTCTCTTTGCAGTATCTGGAAGCGGACATTTGAAGCGGTTTCAGGCCTATGTTGAAAAAGGAAATATCTTCCCGTAACAACTGGACAGAAGCATTCTCAGAAGCTAGTCTCTGATGTGTGTCCTCAACTAACAGAGTTGAACATTTCTTTGGAGAGTATAGTTTTGAAACACTCTTTTTGTGGAGTCTGCAAGTGGATATTTGGCTGGATTTGAGGATTTCGTTGGAAACGCGATAAGGTATAAAAAGCAGACAGCAGCATTCTCAGCAATTTCTTTGTGATGTTTGCATTCAAGTCACAGAATTGAACATTCCCTTTCACAGAGCAGGTTTGAAACACTCTTTTTGTAGTGTCTGTAACTGGACTTTTGGAGCGCTTTCCGGCCTAAGGTGAAAAAGGACATATCTTCCCATAAAAACTACACAGAAGCATTGTCAGAAACTTACTCGTGATGTGTGTCCTCAACTGACGGAGTAGAACCTTTCTTTTGATAGAGCAGTTTTGAAACACTCTTTTTGTAGAATCTCCAAGTGGATATTTGGATAGCTTTGAGGATTTCGTTGGAAACGGGAATATCTTCATATAAAACCTAGACAGAAGAATTCTCAGAAACTTCCTTGTGATGGTTGCATTCAAGTCACGGAGTTGAACATTCCCTTTCATAGAGCAGGTTGGAAACATTCTTTTAGCATTCCCTGGAAGTGGACATTTGGAGCGCTTTGAGGCCTATGGTGAAAAAGGAAATATCTTCTCTTCAAAACTAGACAGAAGCATTCTCAGAAACTTATTTGTGATGTATGTCCTCAACTAACAGATTAGAACATTTCTTTTGAGAGAGCAGTTTTGAAACACTCTTTTTGTGGAATCTGCAAGTGGATATTTGGCTGGCTTTGATGATTTCGTTGGACACGGAAATACATATAAAAAGCAGACAGCAGCGTTCTGAGAAACTTTTTGGTGATGTTTGCATTCAAGTCACAAAACTGAACATTCCCTTTGATACAACATGTTTGAAACACTCCTTTTGTCATATCTGGAAGTGTCCATTTGGAGCGCATTCAGGCTTGTGTTGAAAAAGGAAATATCTTCCCATAACAACTAGACAGAAGCATTCTCAGAAACTAGTTTCTGATGTGTGTCCTCAACTAACACAGTTGTACATTTCTTTAGACAGAACAGTTTTGAAACATTCTTTTTGTGGAATCTGCAAGTGGATATTTGGCTAGATTTGAGCATTTCGTTGGAAACGGGATTACATACAAAAAGCAGACAGCGGCATTCTCAGAAAGTTCTTTGTGATGATTGCATTCAAGTCACAGAATTGAACATTCCCTTTCACAGAGCAGGTTTGAAACACTCTTTTTGTAGTGTGTGAAAGTGGACATTTGGAGCGCTTTCCGGCCTAAGGTGAAAAAGGAAATATCTTCCCATAAAAACTAGACAGAAGCATTGTCAGAAACTTACTCGTGATGTGTGTCCTCAACTGACGGAGTAGAACCTTTCTTTTGATAGAGCAGTTTTGAAACACTCTTTTTGTAGAATCTCCAAGTGGATATTTGGATAGCTTTGAGGATTTCGTTGGAAACGGGAATATCTTCATATAAAACCTAGACAGAAGTATTATCAGAAACTTCCCTTGTGATGGTTGCATTCAAGTCACAGAGTTGAACATTCGCTTTCATAGAGCATGTTTGAAACACTCTTTTTCCATTACCTGGAAGTGGACATTTGGAGCGCTTTGAGGCCTATGGTGAAAAAGGAAATATCTTCCCAAAAAAACTAGACAGAAGCATTCTCAGAAACTTATTTGTGATGTGTGTCCTCACCTGACAGAGTTGAACATTTCTTTTGAGAGAGCAGTTTTGAAACACTCTTTTTGTGGAATCTGCAAGGGGATATTCGGCTGGCTTTGACGATTTCGTTGGAAACGGGAATACATATAAAAAGCAGACAGCAGCGTTCTGAGAAACTTCTTGGTGATGTTTGCATTCAAGTCACTGAATGGAAAGTTCCCTTTCATAGAACAGGTTTGAAACACTCTTTTTGTCGTATCTGGAAGTGTCCATTTGGAGCGCATTCAGGCTTGTGTTGAAAAAGGAAATATCTTCCCATAAAAACTAGACAGAAGCATTCTCAGAAACTAGTTTCTGATGTGTGTCCTCAACTAACACAGTTGAACATTTCTTTAGACAGAACAGTTTTGAAACACTCTTTTTGTGGAATTTGCAAGTGGATATTTGGCTAGATTTGAGCATTTCGTTGGAAACGGGATTACATATAAAAAGCAGACAGCAGCATTCTCAGAAACTTCGTTGTGATGTTTGCATTCAAGTCTCAGAATTGAACATTCCCTTTCACAGAGCAGGTTTGAAACACTCTTTTTGTAGTGTCTGTAACTGGACTTTTGGAGCGCTTCGAGGCCTATGGTGAAAAAGGAAATATCTTCCCATAAAACCTAGACATAAGCATTCTCAGAAACTTATTTGTTATGTGTGTCCTCAACTAACAGATTTGAACATTTCTTTTGAGAGAGCAATTTTGAAACACTCTTTTTGTAGAATCTGCAAATGGATATTTGGATAGCTTTGAGGATTTCGTTGGAAACGGGAATATCTTCATATAAAATCTAGACAGAAGCATTCTCAGAAACTTCCTTGTGATGGTTGCATTCAAGTCACGGAGTTGAACATTCACTTTCATAGAGCAGGTTGGAAACACTCTTTTTCCATTATCTGGAAGTGGACATTTGGAGCGCTTTGAGGCCTATGGTGAAAAAGGAAATCTATTCCCATAAAAATTAGACAGAAGCATTCTCAGAAACTTATTTGTGATGTGTGTCCTCAACTGACAGAGTTGAACATTTCTTTTGAGAGAGCAGATTTGAAACACTCTTTTTGTGGAATCTGCAAGTGGATATTTGGTGGCTTTGACGATTTCGTTGGAAACGGGATTACATATAAAAAGCAGACAGCAGCGTTCTGAGAAACTTCTTGGTGATGTTTGCATTCAAGTCACAGAATTGAACATTCCCTTTGATAGAACAGGTTTGAAACACTCCTTTTCTCATATCTGGAAGTGTCCATTCGGAGCGCATTCAGGCTTGTGTTGAAAAAGGATATATCTTCCCATAACAACTAGACAGAAGCATTCTCAGAAACTAGATTCTGATGTGTGTCCTCAACTAACACAGTTGAACATTTCTTTAGACAGAACAGTTTTGAAACACTCTTTTTGTGGAATTTGCAAGTGGATATTTGGCTAGATTTGAGCATTTCGTTGGAAACGGGATTACATATAAAAAGCAGACAGCGGCATTCTCAGAAAGTTCTTTGTGATGATTGCATTCAAGTCACAGAATTGAACATTCCCTTTCACAGAGCAGATTTGAAACACTCTTTTTGTAGTGTGTGTAAGTGGACATTTGGAGCGCTTTCCGGCCTAAGGTGAAAAAGGAAATATCTTCCCATAAAAACTAGACAGAAGCATTCTCAGAAACTTACTCGTGATATGTGACCTGAACTAATGGAGTAGAAGCTTTCTTTTGATAGAGCAGTTTTGAAACACTCTTTTTGTAGGATCTGCAAGTGGATATTTGGATAGCTTTGAGGATTTCGTTGGAAACGGGAATATCTTCATATAAAATCTAGACAGAAGCATTCTCAGAAACTTCCTTGTGATGGTTGCATTCAAGTCACGGAGTTGAACATTCGCTTTCATAGAGCAGGATGGAAACACTCTTTTTCCATTCCCTGGAAGTGGACATTTGGAGCGCTTCGAGGCCTATGGTGAAAAAGGAAATATTTTCCCCTCAAAACTAGACAGAAGCATTCTCAGAAACTTATTTGTGATGTGTGTCCTCAACTAACAGATTTGAACATTTCTTTTGAGAGAGCAGTTTTGAAACACTCTTTTTGTGGAACCTGCAAGTGGATATTTGGCTGGCTTTGACGATTTCGTTGGAAACGGGAATACATATAAAAAGCAGACAGCAGCGTTCTGAGAAACTACTTGGTGATGTTTGCATTCAAGTCACAGAACGGAACGTTCCCTTTCACAGAACAGGTTTGAAACTCTCCTTTTGTCGTATCTGGAAGTGTCCATTTGGATCGCATTCAGGCTTGTGTTGAAAAAGGAAATATCTTCCCATAAAAACTAGACAGAAGCATTCTCAGCAACTTGTTTGTGATGTGTGACCTCTACTAACAGAGTTGAACCTTTCTTTTCATACAGCAGTTTTGAAACACTCTGTTTGTAGAACCTGCAGGAGGATATTTGCATAGCTTTGAGGATTTCGTTGGAAACGGGATTGTCTTCAGATAAAATCCAGACAGAAGCATTCTCAGAAACTTCTTTGGGATGTTTGCAGACAAGTCACAGAGGAGAACATGCCCTTTCTTAGAGAAGGTTTGAAACACTCTCTTTGTAGTATCTGAAAGTGGACATTTGGAGCGGTTTCAGGCCTATGTTGAAAAAGGAAATATCTTCCCTTAACAACTAGAAAGAAGCATTCTCAGAAGCTAGTCTCTGATGTGTGTCCTCAACTAACAGAGTTGAACATTTCTTTAGACAGAACAGTTTTGAAACACTCTTTTTGTGGAGTCTGCAAGTGGATATTTGGCTAGATTTTTAGGATTTCGTTGGAAACGGGATTACGTATAAAAAGCCGACAGCAGCATTCTCAGCAATTTCTTTGTGATGTTTGCATTCAAGTCACAGAATTGAACATTCCCTTTCACAGAGCAGGTTTGAAACACTCTTTTTGTAGTGTCTGTAACTGGACTTTTGGAGCGCTTTCCGGCCTAAGGTGAAAAAGGACATATCTTCCCATAAAAACTAGACAGAAGCATTGTCAGAAACTTACTCGTGATGTGTGTCCTCAACTGACGGAGTAGAACCTTTCTTTTGATAGAGCAGTTTTGAAACACTCTTTTTGTAGAATCTCCAAGTGGATATTTGGATAGCTTTGAGGATTTCGTTGGAAACGGGAATATCTTCATATAAAACCTAGACAGAAGCATTCTCAGAAACTTCCTTGTGATGGTTGCATTCAAGTCACGGAGTTGAACATTGGCATTCATAGAGCAGGTTGGAAACACTCTTTTTCCATTCCCTGGAAGTGGACATTTGGAGCGCTTTGAGGCCTATGGTGAAAAAGGAAATATCTTCCCATAAAAACTAGACAGAAGCATTCTCAGAAACTTCATTGTGATGTGTGTCCTCAACTGACAGAGTTGAACATGTCTTTTGAGAGAGCAGTTTTGAAACACTCTTTCTGTGGAACCTGCAAGTGGATATTTAGCTGGTTTGACGATTTCGTTGGAAACGGGAATACATATAAAAAGCAGACAGCTGCGTTCTGAGAAACTACTTGGTGATGTTTGCATTCAAGTCACAGAATGGAACGTTCCCTTTCACAGAACAGGTTTGAAACACTCCTTTTGTCGTATCTGGAAGTGTCCATTTGGAGCGCATTCAGGCTTGTGTTGGAAAAGGAAATATCTTCCCAAAAAAATCAGACAGAAGCATTCTCGGCAACTTGTTTGTGATGTGTGCCCTCTACTAACAGAGTCGAACTTTTCTTTTCATAGAGCAGTTTTGAAACACTCTTTTTGTAGAATCTGCAGGAGCATATTTGCATATCTTTGAGGATTTCGTTGGAAACGGGATTGTCTTCAGATAAAATCCAGACAGAAGCATTCTCAGAAACTTCTTTGGGATGTTTGCATTGACGTCACAGAGGAGAACATGCCCTTTCGTAGAGAAGGTTTGAAACACTCTCTTTGCAGTATCTGGAAGTGGACATTTGAAGCGGTTTCAGGCCTATGTTGAAAAAGGAAATATCTTCCCGTAACAACTGGACAGAAGCATTCTCAGAAGCTAGTCTCTGATGTGTGTCCTCAACTAACAGAGTTGAACATTTCTTTGGAGAGTATAGTTTTGAAACACTCTTTTTGTGGAGTCTGCAAGTGGATATTTGGCTGGATTTGAGGATTTCGTTGGAAACGGGATAAGGTATAAAAAGCAGACAGCAGCGTTCTGAGAAACATCTTTGTGATGTTAGTATTCAGGACACAGAGTTGAACATTCCCTATCATAGAGCAGGTTTGAATCACTCCTTTTGTAGTATCTGGAAGTGGACATTTGGAGCGCTTTCCGGCCTCAGGTGAAAAAGGAAATATCTTCCCATAAAAACTAGACAGAAGCATTCTCAGAAACTTACTCGTGATGTGTGTCCTCAACTAACGGAGTAGAACCTTTCTTTTGATAGAGCAGTTTTGAAACACTCTTTTTGTAGAATCTGCAAGTGGATATTTTGATAGCTTTGAGGATTTCGTTGGAAACGGGAAGATCTTCATATAAAATCTAGACAGAAGCATTCTCAGAAACTTCCTTGTGATGGTTGCATTCAAGTCACGGAGTTGAACATTGGCTTTCATAGAGCAGGTTGGAAACACTCTTTTTCCATTCCCTGGAAGTGGACATTTGGAGCGCTTTGAGGCCTATGGTGAAAAAGGAAATATCTTCCCATAAAAACTAGACAGAAGCATTCTCAGAAACTTCTTTGTGATGTGTGTCCTCAACTGACAGAGTTGAACATGTCTTTTGAGAGAGCAGTTTTGAAACACTCTTTCTGTGGAACCTGCAAGTGGATATTTGGCGGGCTTTGACGATTTCGTTGGAAACGGGAATACATATAAAAACAGACAGCAGCGTTCTGAGAAACTTCTTGGTGATGTTTGCATTCAAGTCACGGAATGGAACGTTCCCTTTCATAGAACAGGTTTGAAACACTCCTTTTGTCGTATCTGGAAGTGTCCCTTTGGAGCGCATTCAGGCTTGTGTTGAAAAAGGAAATATCTTCCCATAAAAACTAGACAGAAGCATTCTCAGCAACTTGTTTGTGCTGTGTGCCCTCTACTAAGAGAGGTGAACCTTTCTTTTCATAGAGCAGTTTTGAAACACTCTGTTTGTAGAGTCTGCAGTTGAATATTTGCATAGATTTGAGGATTTCTTTGGAAACGGGATTGTCTTCACATAAAATCCAGACAGAAGCATTCTCAGCAACTTCTTTGGGAGATTTGCATACAAGTCACAGAGGAGAACATGCCCTTTCGTAGAGAAGGTTTGAAACACTCTTTTTGTAGTATCTGGAAGTGGACATTTGGAGCGGTTTCAAGATTATGTTGAAAAAGGAAATATCTTCCCGTAACAACTGGACAGAAGAATTCTCAGGAGCTAGTCTCTGATGTGTGTCCTCAACTAAGAGAGTTGAACATTTCTTTAGACAGAACTGTTTTGAAACTCTCTTTTTGTGGAGTCTGCAAGTGGATATTTGGCTAGATTTGAGGATTTCGTTGGAAACGGGATTACGTATAAAAAGCAGACAGCAGCATTCTCAGAAACTTCGTTGTGATGTTTGCATTCAAGTCTCAGAATTGAACATTCCCTTTCACAGAGCAGGTTTGAAACACTCTTTTTGTAGTGTCTGTAACTGGACTTTTGGAGCGCTTCGAGGCCTATGGTGAAAAAGGAAATATCTTCCCATAAAACCTAGACATAAGCATTCTCAGAAATTTACTCGAGATGTGTGTCCTCAACTGACGGAGTAGAACCTTTCTTTTGATAGAGCAGTTTTGAAACACTCTTTTTGTAGAATCTCCAAGTGGATATTTGGATAGCTTTGAGGATTTCGTTGGAAACGGGAATATCTTCATATAAAATCTAGACAGAAGCATTCTCAGAAACTTCCTTGTGATGGTTGCATTCAACTCACGGAGTTGAACATTGGCTTTCATAGAGCAGGTTGGAAACACTCTTTTTCCATTCCCTGGAAGTGGACATTTGGAGCGCTTTGAGGCCTATGGTGAAAAAGGAAATATCTTCCCATAAAAACTAGACAGAAGCATTCTCAGAAACTTATTTGTGATGTGTGTCCTCAACTGACAGAGTTGAACATTTCTTTTGAGAGAGCAGTTTTGAAACACTCTTTTTGTGGAATCTGCAAGTGGATATTTGGCTGGCTTTGAGGATTTCGTTGGAAACGGGAATACATATAAAAAGCAGACAGCAGCGTTCTGAGAAACTTCTTGGTGATGTTTGCATTCAAGTCACAGAATTGAACATTCCCTTTGATAGAACAGGTTTGAAAGACTCCTTTTCTCATATCTGGAAGTGTCCATTCGGAGCGCATTCAGGCTTGTGTTGAAAAAGGATATATCTTCCCATAACAACTAGACAGAAGCATTCTCAGAAACTAGTTTCTGATGTGTGTCCTCAACTAACACAGTTGAACATTTCTTTAGACAGAACAGTTTTGAAACACTCTTTTTGTGGAATTTGCAAGTGGATATTTGGCTAGATTTGAGCATTTCGTTGGAAACGGGATTACATATAAAAAGCAGACAGCAGCATTCTCAGCAACTTCTTTGTGATCTTTGCATTCAAGTTACAGAATTGAACATTCCCTTTCACAGAGCAGGTTTGAAACACTCTTTTTGTAGTGTCTGTAACTGGACTTTTGGAGCGCTTTCCGGCCTAAGGTGAAAAAGGACATATCTTCCCATAAAAACTAGACAGAAGCATTGTCAGAAACTTACTCGTGATGTGTGTCCTCAACTGACGGAGTAGAACCTTTCTTTTGATAGAGCAGTTTTGAAACACTCTTTTTGTAGAATCTCCAAGTGGATATTTGGATAGCTTTGAGGATTTCGTTGGAAACGGGAATATCTTCATATAAAACCTAGACAGAAGCATTCTCAGAAACTTCCTTGTGATGGTTGCATTCAAGTCACGGAGTTGAACATTGGCTTTCATACAGTAGGTTGGAAACACTCTTTTTCCATTCCCTGGAAGTGGACATTTGGAGCGCTTTGAGGACTATGGTGAAAAAGGAAATATCTTCCCATAAAAACTAGACAGAAGCATTCTCAGAAACTTCTTTGTGATGTGTGTCCTCAACTGACAGAGTTGAACATGTCTTTTGAGAAAGCAGTTTTGAAACAATCTTTCTGTGGAACCTGCAAGTGGATATTTGGCTGGCTTTGACGATTTCGTTGGAAACGGGAATACATATAAAAAGCAGACAGCAGCGTTCTGAGAAACTTCTTGGTGATGTTTGCATTCAAGTCACTGAATGGAAAGTTCCCTTTCATAGAACAGGTTTGAAACTCTCCTTTTGTCGTAACTGGAAGTGTCCATTTCGAGCGCATTCAGGCTTGTGTTGAAAAAGGAAATATCTTCCCATAAAAACTAGACAGAAGCCTTCTCGGCAACTTGTTTGTGATGTGTGCCCTCTACTAACAGAGTCGAACCTTTCTATTCATAGAGCAGTTTTGAAACACTCTTTTTGTAGAATCTGCAGGAGCATATTTGCATAGCTTTGAGGATTTCGTTGGAAACGGGATTGTCTTCAGATAAAATCCAGACAGAAGCATTCTCAGAAACTTCTTTGGGATGTTTGCATTGACGTCACTGAGGAGAACATGCCCCTTCGTAGAGAAGGTTTGAAACACTCTCTTTGCAGTATCTGGAAGCGGACATTTGAAGCTGTTTCAGGCCTATGTTGAAAAAGGAAATATCTTCCCGTAACAACTGGACAGAAGCATTCTCAGAAGCTAGTCTCTGATGTGTGTCCTCAACTAACAGAGTTGAACATTTCTTTGGAGAGTATAGTTTTGAAACACTCTTTTTGTGGAGTCTGCAAGTGGATATTTGGCTGGATTTGAGGATTTCGTTGGAAACGCGATAAGGTATAAAAAGCAGACAGCAGCGTTCTGAGAAACATCTTTGTGATGTTTGTATTCAGGACACAGAGTTGAACGTTCCCTATCATAGAGCAGGTTTGAATCACTCCTTTTGTAGTATCTGGAAGTGGACATTTGGAGCGCTTTCCGGCCTCAGGTGAAAAAGGAAATATCTTCCCATAAAAACTAGACAGAAGCATTCTCAGAAACTTACTCGTGATGTGTGTCCTCAACTAAAGGGGTAGAACCTTTCTTTTGATAGAGCAGTTTTGAAACACTCTTTTTGTAGAATCTGCAAGTGGATATTTCGATAGCTTTGTGGATTTCGTTGGAAACGGGAATATCTTCATATAAAATCTAGAGAGAAGTATTATCAGAAACTTCCTTGTGATGGTTGCATTCAAGTCACAGAGTTGAACATTCGCTTTCATAGAGCATGTTTGAAACACTCTTTTTCCATTACCTGGAAGTGGACTTTTGGAGCGCTTTGAGGCCTATGGTGAAAAAGGAAATATCTTCCCAAAAAAACTAGACAGAAGCATTCTCAGAAACTTATTTGTGATGTGTGTCCTCAACTGACAGAGTTGAACATTTCTTTTGAGAGAGCAGTTTTGAAACACTCTTTTTGTGGAATCTGCAAGTGGATATTTGGCTGGCTTTGAGGATTTCGTTGGAAACGGGAATACATATAAAAAGCAGACAGCAGCGTTCTGAGAAACTTCTTGGTGATGTTTGCATTCAAGTCACAGAATTGAACATTCCCTTTGATAGAACAGGTTTGAAACACTCCTTTTGTCATATCTGGAAGTGTCCATTTGGAGCGCATTCAGGCTTGTGTTGAAAAAGGAAATATCTTCCCATAACAACTAGACAGAAGCATTCTCAGAAACTAGTTTCTGATGTGTGTCCTCAACTAACACAGTTGAACATTTCTTTAGACAGAACAGTTTTGAAACACTCTTTTTGTGGAATTTGCAAGTGGATATTTGGCTAGATTTGAGCATTTCGTTGGAAACGGGATTACATATAAAAAGCAGACAGCAGCATTCTCAGCAATTTCTTTGTGATGTTTGCATTCAAGTCACAGAATTGAACATTCCCTTTCACAGAGCAGGTTTGAAACACTCTTTTTGTAGTGTCTGTAACTGGACTTTTGGAGCGCTTTCCGGCCTAAGGTGAAAAAGGACATATCTTCCCATAAAAACTAGACAGAAGCATTGTCAGAAACTTACTCGTGATGTGTGTCCTCAACTGACGGAGTAGAACCTTTCTTTTGATAGAGCAGTTTTGAAACACTCTTTTTGTAGAATCTCCAAGTGGATATTTGGATAGCTTTGAGGATTTCGTTGGAAACGGGAATATCTTCATATAAAACCTAGACAGAAGTATTATCAGAAACTTCCTTGTGATGGTTGCATTCAAGTCACAGAGTTGAACATTCGCTTTCATAGAGCATGTTTGAAACACTCTTTTTCCATTACCTGGAAGTGGATATTTGGAGCGCTTTGAGGCCTATGGTGAAAAAGGAAATATCTTCCCAAAAAAACTAGACAGAAGCATTCTCAGAAACTTATTTGTGATGTGTGTCCTCAACTGACAGAGTTGAACATTTCTTTTGAGAGAGCAGTTTTGAAACACTCTTTTTGTGGAATCTGCAAGTGGATATTTGGCTGGCTTTGAGGATTTCGTTGGAAAAGGGAATACATATAAAAAGCAGACAGCAGCGTTCTGAGAAACTTCTTGGTGATGTTTGCATTCAAGTCACAGAATTGAACATTCCCTTTGATAGAACAGGTTTGAAACACTCCTTTTCTCATATCTGGAAGTGTCCATTTGGAGCGCATTCAGGCTTGTGTTGAAAAAGGAAATATCTTCCCATAACAACTAGACAGAAGCATTCTCAGCAACTTGTTTGTGATGTGTGCCCTCTACTAACAGAGTTGAACCTTTCTTTTCATAGAGCAGTTTTGAAACACTCTTTTTGTAGAATCTGCAGGAGGATATTTGCATAGCTTTGAGGATTTCGTTGGAAACGGGATTGTCTTCAGATAAAATCCAGACAGAAGCATTCTCAGAAACTTCGCTGGGATGTTTCCATTCAAGTCACAGAGGAGAACATGCCCTTTCGTAGAGAAGGTTTAAAACACTCTTTTTGTAGTATCTGGAAGTGGACATTTGGAGCAGTTTCAGGCCTATGTTGAAAAAGGAAATATCTTCCCTTAACAACTGGACAGAAGTATTCTCAGAAGCTAGTCTCTGATGTGTGTCCTCAACTAACAGAGTTGAACATTTCTTTAGACAGAACAGTTTTGAAACCCTCTTTTTGTGGAGTCTGCAAGTGGATATTTGGCTAGATTTTTAGGATTTCGTTGGAAACGGGATTACGTATAAAAAGCCGACAGCAGCATTCTCAGAAACTTCTTTGTGATGTTTGCATTCAAGTCACAGAATTGAACATTACCTTTGATAGAGCAGTTTTGTAACACTCTTTTGGTAGTGTCTGTAAGTGGACATCTGGATCGCTTTCCGGCCTAAGGTGAAAAAGGACATATCTTCCCATAAAAACCAGACAGAAGCATTCTCAGAAACTTACTCGTGATGTGTGTCCTCAACTAACGGAGTAGAACCTTTCTTTTGATAGAGCAGATTTGAGAACACACTTTTTGTAGAATCTGCAAGTGGATATTTGGATAGCTTTGAGGATTTCATTGGAAACGGGAATATCTTCATATAAAATCTAGACAGAAGCATTCTCAGAAACTTCCTTGTGATGGTTGCATTCAATTCACAGAGTTGAGCATTCGCTTTCATAGAGCAGGTTGGAAATACTCATTTTCCATTCCCTGGAAGTGGACATTTGGAGCGCTTCGAGGCCTATGGTGAAAAAGGAAACATCTTCCCATAAAAACTAGACATTAGCATTCTCAGAAACTTCTTTGTGATGTGTGTCCTCAACTGACAGAGTTGAACATGTCTTTTGAGAGAGCAGTTTTGAAACACTCTTTCTGTGGAACCTGCAAGTGGATATTTGGCTGGCTTTGACGATTTCGTTGGAAACGGGAATACATATAAAAAGCAGACAGCAGCGTTCTGAGAAACTTTTTGGTGATGTTTGCATTCAAGTCACAAAACTGAACATTCCCTTTGATACAACAGGTTTGAGACACTCCTTTTGTCATATCTGGAAGTGTCCATTTGGAGCGCATTCAGGCTTGTGTTGAAAAAGGAAATATCTTCCCATAACAACTAGACAGAAGCATTCTCGGCAACTTGTTTGTGATGTGTGCCCTCTACTAACAGAGTCGAACTTTTCTTTTCATAGAGCAGTTTTGAAACACTCTTTTTGTAGAATCTGCAGGAGCATATTTGCATATCTTTGAGGATTTCGTTGGAAACGGGATTGTCTTCAGATAAAATCCAGACAGAAGCATTCTCAGAAACCTCTTTGGGATGTTTGCATTCAAGTCACAGAGGAGAACATGCCGTTTCGTAGAGAAGGTTTGAAACACTCTTTTTGTAGTATCTGGAAGTGGACATTTGGAGCGGTTTCAGGCCTATGTTGAAAAAGGAAATATCTTCCCGTAACAACTGGACAGAAGCATTCTCAGAAGCTAGTCTCTGATGTGTGTCCTCAACTAACAGAGTTGAACATTTCTTTTGACAGTACAGTTTTGAAACACTCTTTTTGTGGAGTCTGCAAGTGGATATTTGGCTGGATTTGAGGATTTCGTTGGAAACGGGATAAGGTATAAAAAGCAGACAGCAGCATTCTCAGCAACTTCTTTGTGATGTTTGCATTCAAGTCACAGAATTGAACATTCCCTTTCACATAGCAGGTTTGAAACACTCTTTTTGTAGTGTCTGTAACTGGACTTTTGGAGCGCTTTCCGGCCTAAGGTGAAAAAGGACATATCTTCCCATAAAAACTAGACAGAAGCATTGTCAGAAACTTACTCACGATGTGTGTCCTCAACTAAGGGAGTAGAACCTTTCTTTTGATAGAGCAGTTTTGAAACACTCTTTTTGTAGAATCTCAAAGCGGATATTTGGATAGATTTGAGGATTTCGTTGGAAACGGGAATATCTTCATATAAAATCTAGACAGAAGCATTCTCAGAAACTTCCTTGTGATGTTTGCATTCAAGTCACGGAGTTGAACATTCGCTTTCATAGAGCAGGTTGGAAACACTCTTTTTCCATTCCCTGGAAGTGGACATGTGGAGCGGTTTGAGGCCTATGGTGAAAAAGGAAATATCTTCCCATAAAAACTAGACAGAAGCATTCTCAGAAACTTATTTGTGATGTGTGTCCTCAACTGACAGAGTTGAACATTTCTTTTGAGAGAGCAGTTTTGAAACACTCTTTTTGTGGAATCTGCAAGTGGATATTTGGCTGGCTTTGAGGATTTCGTTGGAAACGGGAATACATATAAAAAGCAGACAGCAGCGTTCTGAGAAACTTTTTGGTGATGTTTGCATTCAAGTCACAAAACTGAACATTCCCTTTGATACAACAGGTTTGAGACACTCCTTTTGTCATATCTGGAAGTGTCCATTTGGAGCGCATTCAGGCTTGTGTTGAAAAAGGAAATATCTTCCCATAACAACTAGACAGAAGCATTCTCGGCAACTTGTTTGTGATGTGTGCCCTCTACTAACAGAGTCGAACCTTTCTATTCATAGAGCAGTTTGGAAACACTCTTTTTGTAGAATCTGCAGGAGCATATTTGCATATCTTTGAGGATTTCGTTGGAAACGGGATTGTCTTCAGATAAAATCCAGACAGAAGCATTCTCAGAAACTTCTTTGGGATGTTTGCATTGACGTCACTGAGGAGAACATGCCCTTTCGTAGAGAAGGTTTGAAACACTCTCTTTGCAGTATCTGGAAGTGGACATTTGAAGCGGTTTCAGGCCTATGTTGAAAAAGGAAATATCTTCCCGTAACAACTGGACAGAAGCATTCTCAGAAGCTAGTCTCTGATGTGTGTCCTCAACTAACAGAGTTGAACATTTCTTTTGACAGTACAGTTTTGAAACACTCTTTTTGTGCAGTCTGCAAGTGGATATTTGGCTGGATTTGAGGATTTCGTTGGAAACGGGATAAGGTATAAAAAGCAGATAGCAGCATTCTCAGCAATTTCTTTGTGATGTTTGCATTCAAGTCACAGAATTGAACATTCCCTTTCACAGAGCAGGTTTGAAACACTCTTTTTGTAGTGTCTGTAACTGGACTTTTGGAGCGCTTTCCGGCCTCAGGTGAAAAAGGACATATCTTCCCATAAAAACTAGACAGAAGCATTCTCAGAAACTTACTCGTGATGTGTGTCCTCAACTAAAGGGGTAGAACCTTTCTTTTGATAGAGCAGTTTTGAAACACTCTTTTTGTAGAATCTGCAAGTGGATATTTCGATAGCTTTGTGGATTTCGTTGGAAACGGGAATATCTTCATATAAAATCTAGAAAGAAGCATTATCAGAAACTTCCTTGTGATGGTTGCATTCAAGTCACAGAGTTGAACATTCGCTTTCATAGAGCATGTTTGAAACACTCTTTTTCCATTACCTGGAAGTGGACATTTGGAGCACTTTGAGGCCTATGGTGAAAAAGGAAATATCTTCCCAAAAAAACTAGACAGAAGCATTCTCAGAAACTTATTTGTGATGTGTGTCCTCAACTGACAGAGTTGAACATTTCTTTTGAGAGAGCAGTTTTGAAACACTCTTTTTGTGGAATCTGCAAGTGGATATTTGGCTGGCTTTGAGGATTTCGTTGGAAACGGGAATACATATAAAAAGCAGACAGCAGCGTTCTGAGAAACTTCTTGGTGATGTTTGCATTCAAGTCACAGAATTGAACATTCCCTTTAATAGAACAGGTTTGAAACACTCCTTTTGTCATATCTGGAAGTGTCCCTTTGGAGCGCATTCAGGCTTGTGTTGAAAAAGGAAATATCTTCCCATAACAACTAGACAGAAGCCTTCTCGGCAACTTGTTTGTGATGTGTGCCCTCTACTAACAGAGTCGAACCTTTCTATTCATAGAGCAGTTTTGAAACACTCCTTTTGTAGAATCTGAAGGAGCATATTTGCATATCTTTGAGGATTTCTTTGGAAACGGGATTGTCTTCAGATAAAATCCAGACAGAAGCATTCTCAGAAACTTCTTTGGGATGTTTGCATTGACGTCACTGAGGAGAACATGCCCTTTCGTAGAGAAGGTTTGAAACACTCTCTTTGTAGTATCTGGAAGTGGACATTTGAAGTGGTTTCAGGCCTATGTTGAAAAAGGAAATATCTTCCCGTAACAACTGGACAGAAGCATTCTCAGAAGCTAGTCTCTGATGTGTGTCCTCAACTAACAGAGTTGAACATTTCTTTTGACAGTACAGTTTTGAAACACTCTTTTTGTGGAGTCTGCAAGTGGATATTTGGCTGGATTTGAGGATTTCGTTGGAAACGGGATAAGGTATAAAAAGCAGACAGCAGCATTCTCAGCAACTTCTTTGTGATGTTTGCATTCAAGTCACAGAATTGAACATTCCCTTTCACAGAGCAGGTTTGAAACACTCTTTTTGTAGTGTCTGTAACTGGACTTTTGGAGCGCTTTCCGGCCTAAGGTGAAAAAGGACATATCTTCCCATAAAAACTAGACAGAAGCATTGTCAGAAACTTACTCGTGATGTGTGTCCTCAACTGACGGAGTAGAACCTTTCTTTTGATAGAGCAGTTTTGAAACACTCTTTTTGTAGAATCTCCAAGTGGATATTTGGATAGCTTTGAGGATTTCGTTGGAAACGGGAATATCTTCATATAAAACCTAGACAGAAGTATTATCAGAAACTTCCTTGTGATGGTTGCATTCAAGTCACAGTAGTTGAACATTCGCTTTCATAGAGCATGTTTGAAACACTCTTTTTCCATTACCTGGAAGTGGACTTTTGGAGCGCTTTGAGGCCTATGGTGAAAAAGGAAATATCTTCCCAAAAAAACTAGACAGAAGCATTCTCAGAAACTTCTTTGTGATGTGTGTCCTCAACTGACAGAGTTGAACATGTCTTTTGAGAGAGCAGTTCTGAAACACTCTTTCTGTGGAACCTGCAAGTGGATATTTGGCTGGCTTTGACGATTTCGTTGGAAACGGGAATACATATAAAAAGCAGACAGCAGCGTTATGAGAAACTACTTGTTGATGTTTGCATTCAAGTCACAGCAATGGAACGTTCCCTTTCATAGAACAGGTTTGAAACACTCCTTTTGTCGTATCTGGAAGTGTCCATTTGGATCGCATTCAGGCTTGTGTTGAAAAAGGAAATATCTTCCCATAAAAACTAGACAGAAGCATTCTCAGCAACTTGTTTGTGATGTGTGACCTCTACTAACAGAGTTGAACCTTTCTTTTCATACAGCAGTTTTGAAACACTCTTTTTGTAGAACCTGCAGGAGGATATTTGCATAGCTTTGAGGATTTCGTTGGAAACGGGATTGTCTTCAGATAAAATCCAGACAGAAGCATTCTCAGAAAGTTCTTTGGGATGTTTGCATTGACGTCACAGAGGAGAACATGCCCTTTCGTAGAGAAGGTTTGAAACACTCTCTTTGCAGTATCTGGAAGTGGACATTTGAAGCGGTTTCAGGCCTATGTTGAAAAAGGAAATATCTTCCCGTAACAACTGGACAGAAGCATTCTCAGAAGCTAGTCTCTGATGTGTGTCCTCAACTAACAGAGTTGAACATTTCTTTTGACAGTACAGTTTTGAAACACTCTTTTTGTGGAGTCTGCAAGTGGATATTTGGCTGGATTTGAGGATTTCGTTGGAAACGGGATAAGGTATAAAAAGCAGACAGCGGCATTCTCAGAAAGTTCTTTGTGATGATTGCATTCAAGTCACAGAATTGAACATTCCCTTTCACAGAGCAGATATGAAACACTCTTTTTGTAGTGTGTGTAAGTGGACATTTGGAGCGCTTTCCGGCCTAAGGTGAAAAAGGAAATATCTTCCCATAAAAACTAGACAGAAGCATTGTCAGAAACTTACTCGTGATGTGTGTCCTCAACTGACGGAGTAGAACCTTTCTTTTGATAGAGCAGTTTTGAAACACTCTTTTTGTAGAATCTCCAAGTGGATATTTGGGTAGCTTTGAGGATTTCGTTGGAAACGGGAATATCTTCATATAAAACCTAGACAGAAGCATTATCAGAAACTTCCTTGTGATGGTTGCATTCAAGTCACAGAGTTGAACATTCGCTTTCATAGAGCATGTTTGAAACACTCTTTTTCCATTACCTGGAAGTGGACATTTGGAGCGCTTTGAGGCCTATGGTGAAAAAGGAAATATCTTCCCAAAAATCTAGACAGAAGCATTCTCAGAAACTTATTTGTGATGTGTGTCCTCAACTGACAGAGTTGAACATTTCTTTTGAGAGAGCAGTTTTGAAACACTCTTTTTGTGGAATCTGCAAGTGGATATTTGGCTGGCTTTGAGGATTTCGTTGGAAACGGGAATACATATAAAAAGCAGACAGCAGCGTTCTGAGAAACTTTTTGGTGATGTTTGCATTCAAGTCACAAAACTGAACATTCCCTTTGATACAACATGTTTGAAACACTCCTTTTGTCATATCTGGAAGTGTCCATTTGGAGCGCATTCAGGCTTGTGTTGAAAAAGGAAATATCTTCCCATAACAACTAGACAGAAGCATTCTCGGCAACTTGTTTGTGATGTGTGCCCTCTACTAACAGAGTCGAACTTTTCTTTTCATAGAGCAGTTTTGAAACACTCTTTTTGTAGAATCTGCAGGAGCATATTTGCATATCTTTGAGGATTTCGTTGGAAACGGGATTGTCTTCAGATAAAATCCAGACAGAAGCATTCTCAGAAACTTCTTCGGGATGTTTGCATTCAAGTCACAGAGGAGAACATGCCCTTTCGTAGAGAAGGTTTGAAACACTCTTTTTATAGTATCTGGAAGTGGACATATGGAGCAGTTTCAAGACAATGTTGAAAAAGGAAATATCTTCTCGTAACAACTGGACAGAAGCATACTCAGAAGCTAGTCTTTCATGTGTGCCCTCACCTAACAGAGTTCAACATTTCTTTAGACAGAACAGTTTTGAAACACTCTTTTTGTGCAGTCTGTAAGTGGATATTTGGCTAGATTTGAGGATTTCGTTGGAAACGGGATTACGTATAAAAAGCAGACAGGAGCATTCTCAGAAACTTCTTTGTGATGTTTGCATTCAAGTCACAGAATTGAACATTCCCTTTCACAGAGCAGTTTTGAAACACTCTTTTTGTAGTGTCTGTAAGTGGACGTTTGGAGCGCTTTCTGGCCTAAGGTGAAAAAGGACATATCTTCCCATAAAAACTAGACAGAAGCATTCTCAGAAACTTATTTGTGATGTGTGTCCTCAACTGACAGAGTTGAACATTACTTTTGAGAGAGCAGTTTTGAAACACTCTTTTTGTGGAATCTGCAAGTGGATATTTGGCTGGCTTTGAGGATTTCGTTGGAAACGCGAATACATATAAAAAGCAGACAGCAGCGTTCTGAGAAACTTCTTGGTGATGTTTGCATTCAAGTCACAGAATTGAACATTCCCTTTAATAGAACAGGTTTGAAACACTCCTTTTGTCATATCTGGAAGTGTCCATTTGGAGCGCATTCAGGCTTGTGTTGAAAAAGGAAATATCTTCCCATAACAACTAGACAGAAGCCTTCTCGGCAACTTGTTTGTGATGTGTGCCCTCTACTAACAGAGTCGAACCTTTCTATTCATAGAGCAGTTTTGAAACACTCTTTTTGTAGAATCTGCAGGAGCATATTTGGATAGCTTTGAGGATTTCGTTGGAAACGGGATTGTCTTCAGATAAAATCCAGACAGAAGCATTCTCAGAAACTTCTTTGGGATGTTTGCATTGACGTCACAGAGGAGAACATGCCCTTTCGTAGAGAAGGTTTGAAACACTCTCTTTGCAGTATCTGGAAGTGGACATTTGAAGCGGTTTCAGGCCTATGTTGAAAAAGGAAATATCTTCCCGTAACAACTGGACAGAAGCATTCTCAGAAGCTAGTCTCTGATGTGTGTCCTCAACTAACAGAGTTGAACATTTCTTTGGAGAGTATAGTTTTGAAACACTCTTTTTGTGGAGTCTGCAAGTGGATATTTGGCTGGATTTGAGGATTTCGTTGGAAACGCGATAAGGTATAAAAAGCAGACAGCAGCATTCTCAGCAATTTCTTTGTGATGTTTGCATTCAAGTCACAGAATTGAACATTCCCTTTCACAGAGCAGGTTTGAAACACTCTTTTTGTAGTGTCTGTAACTGGACTTTTGGAGCGCTTTCCGGCCTAAGGTGAAAAAGGACATATCTTCCCATAAAAACTAGACAGAAGCATTCTCAGAAACTTACTCGTGATGTGTGTCCTCAACTAAAGGGGTAGAACCTTTCTTTTGATAGAGCAGTTTTGAAACACTCTTTTTGTAGAATCTGCAAGTGGATATTTCGATAGCTTTGTGGATTTCGTTGGAAACGGGAATATCTTCATATAAAATCTAGAGAGAAGTATTATCAGAAACTTCCTTGTGATGGTTGCATTCAAGTCACAGAGTTAAACATTCGCTTTCATAGAGCATGTTTGAAACACTCTTTTTCCATTACCTGGAAGTGGACTTTTGGAGCGCTTTGAGGCCTATGGTGAAAAAGGAAATATCTTCCCAAAAAAACTAGACAGAAGCATTCTCAGAAACTTATTTGTGATGTGTGTCCTCAACTGACAGAGTTGAACATTTCTTTTGAGAGAGCAGTTTTGAAACACTCTTTTTGTGGAATCTGCAAGTGGATATTTGGCTGGCTTTGAGGATTTCGTTGGAAACGGGAATACATATAAAAAGCAGACAGCAGCGTTCTGAGAAACTTCTTGGTGATGTTTGCATTCAAGTCACAGAATTGAACATTCCCTTTGATAGAACAGGGTTGAAACACTCCTTTTGTCATATCTGGAAGTGTCCATTTGGAGCGCATTCAGGCTTGTGTTGAAAAAGGAAATATCTTCCCATAGCAACTAGACAGAAGCATTCTCAGAAACTAGTTTCTGATGTGTGTCCTCAGCTAACACAGTTGAACATTTCTTTAGACAGAACAGTTTTGAAACACTCTTTTTGTGGAATCTGCAAGTGGATATTTGGCTAGATTTGAGCATTTCGTTGGAAACGGGATTACATATAAAAAGCACACAGCAGCGTTCTGAGAAACATATTTGTGATGTTTGTATTCAGGACACAGAGTTGAACATTCCCTATCATAGAGCAGGTTTGAATCACTCCTTTTGTAGTATCTGGAAGTGAACATTTGGAGCGCTTTCCGGCCTCAGGTGAAAAAGGAAATATCTTCCCATAAAAACTAGACAGAAGCATTGTCAGAAACTTACTCGTGATGTGTGTCCTCAACTGACGGAGTAGAACCTTTCTTTTGATAGAGCAGTTTTGAAACACTCTTTTTGTAGAATCTCCAAGTGGATATTTGGATAGCTTTGAGGATTTCGTTGGAAACGGGAATATCTTCATATAAAACCTAGACAGAAGTATTATCAGAAACTTCCTTGTGATGGTTGCATTCAAGTCACAGAGTTGAACATTCGCTTTCATAGAGCATGTTTGAAACACTCTTTTTCCATTACCTGGAAGTGGACTTTTGGAGCGCTTTGAGGCCTATGGTGAAAAAGGAAATATCTTCCCAAAAAAACTAGACAGAAGCATTCTCAGAAACTTATTTGTGATGTGTGTCCTCAACTGAGAGAGTTGAACATTTCTTTTGAGAGAGCAGTTTTGAAACAGTCTTTTTGTGGAATCTGCAAGTGGATATTTGGCTGACTTTGAGGATTTCGTTGGAAACGGGAATACATATACAAAGCAGACAGCAGCGTTCTGAGAAACTTCTTGGTGATGTTTGCATTCAAGTCACAGAATTGAACATTCCCTTTGATAGAACAGGTTTGAAACACTCCTTTTCTCATATCTGGAAGTGTCCATTCGGAGCGCATTCAGGCTTGTGTTGAAAAAGGATATATCTTCCCATAACAACTAGACAGAAGCATTCTCAGAAACTAGATTCTGATGTGTGTCCTCAACTAACACAGTTGAACATTTCTTTAGACAGAACAGTTTTGAAACACTCTTTTTGTGGAATTTGCAAGTGGATATTTGGCTAGATTTGAGCATTTCGTTGGAAACGGGATTACATATAAAAAGCAGACAGCGGCATTCTCAGAAAGTTCTTTGTGATGATTGCATTCAAGTCACAGAATTGAACATTCCCTTTCACAGAGCAGATATGAAACACTCTTTTTGTAGTGTGTGTAAGTGGACATTTGGAGCGCTTTCCGGCCTAAGGTGAAAAAGGAAATATCTTCCCATAAAAACTAGACAGAAGCATTGTCAGAAACTTACTCGTGATGTGTGTCCTCAACTGACGGAGTAGAACCTTTCTTTTGATAGAGCAGTTTTGAAACACTCTTTTTGTAGAATCTCCAAGTGGATATTTGGATAGCTTTGAGGATTTCGTTGGAAACGGGAATATCTTCATATAAAACCTAGACAGAAGCATTCTCAGAAACTTCCTTGTGATGGTTGCATTCAAGTCACGGAGTTGAACATTGGCTTTCATAGAGCAGGTTGGAAACACTCTTTTTCCATTCCCTGGAAGTGGACATTTGGAGCGCTTTGAGGCCTATGGTGAAAAAGGAAATATCTTCCCATAAAAACTAGACAGAAGCATTCTCAGAAACTTCTTTGTGATGTGTGTCCTCAACTGACAGAGTTGAACATGTCTTTTCAGAGAGCAGTTCTGAAACACTCTTTCTGTGGAACCTGCAAGTGGATATTTGGCTGGCTTTGACGATTTCGTAGGAAACGGGAATACATATAAAAAGCAGACAGCTGCGTTCTGAGAAACTACTT
Source organism: Homo sapiens (assembly GCF_000001405.40). Lineage (NCBI taxonomy): Eukaryota > Metazoa > Chordata > Mammalia > Primates > Hominidae > Homo > Homo sapiens. Next base: position 26,535,811 of record NC_000020.11, read on the forward strand.
GGTGATGTTTGCATTCAAGTCACAGAATGGAACGTTCCCTTTCACAGAACAGGTTTGAAACACTCCTTTTGTCGTATCTGGAAGTGTCCATTTGGAGCGCATTCAGGCTTGTGTTGGAAAAGGAAATATCTTCCCAAAAAAATCAGACAGAAGCATTCTCGGCAACTTGTTTGTGATGTGTGCCCTCTACTAACAGAGTCGAACTTTTCTTTTCATAGAGCAGTTTTGAAACACTCTTTTTGTAGAATCTGCAGGAGCATATTTGCATATCTTTGAGGATTTCGTTGGAAACGGGATTGTCTTCAGATAAAATCCAGACAGAAGCATTCTCAGAAACTTCTTTGGGATGTTTGCATTGACGTCACAGAGGAGAACATGCCCTTTCGTAGAGAAGGTTTGAAACACTCTCTTTGCAGTATCTGGAAGTGGACACTTGAAGCGGTTTCAGGCCTATGTTGAAAAAGGAAATATCTTCCCGTAACAACTGGACAGAAGCATTCTCAGAAACTATTTTCTGATGTGTGTCCTCAACTAACACAGTTGAACTTTTCTTTAGACAGAACAGTTTTGAAACACTCTTTTTGTGGAATCTGCAAGTGGATATTGGGCTAGATTTGAGGATTTCGTTGGAAACGGGATTACATATAAAAAGCAGACAGCAGCATTCTCAGCAATTTCTTTGTGATGTTTGCATTCAAGTCACAGAATTGAACATTCCCTTTCACAGAGCAGGTTTGAAACACGCTTTTTGTAGTGTCTGTAACTGGACTTTTGGAGCGCTTTCCGGCCTAAGGTGAAAAAGGACATATCTTCCCATAAAAACTAGACAGAAGCATTGTCAGAAACTTACTCGTGATGTGTGTCCTCAACTGACGGAGTAGAACCTTTCTTTTGATAGAGCAGTTTTGAAACACTCTTTTTGTAGAATCTCCAAGTGGATATTTGGATAGCTTTGAGGATTTCGTTGGAAACGGGAATATATTCATATAAAACCTAGACAGAAGCATTCTCAGAAACTTCCTTGTGATGGTTGCATTCATGTCACGGAGTTGAACATTGGCTTTCATAGAGCAGGTTGGAAACACTCTTTTTCCATTCCCTGGAAGTGGACATTTGGAGCGCTTTGAGGCCTATGGTGAAAAAGGAAACATCTTCCCATAAAAACTAGACAGAAGCATTCTCAGAAACTTCTTTGTGATGTGTGTCCTCAACTGACAGAGTTGAACATGTCTTTTGAGAGAGCAGTTTTGAAACACTCTTTCTGTGGAACCTGCAAGTGGATATTTGGCGGGCTTTGACGATTTCGTTGGAAACGGGAATACATATAAAAACAGACAGCTGCGTTCTGAGAAACTACTTGGTGATGTTTGCATTCAAGTCACAGTAATGGAACGTTCCCTTTCACAGAACAGGTTTGAAACACTCCTTTTGTCGTATCTGGAAGTGTCCATTTGGAGCGCATTCAGGCTTGTGTTGGAAAAGGAAATATCTTCCCAAAAAAATCAGACAGAAGCATTCTCGGCAACTTGTTTGTGATGTGTGCCCTCTACTAACAGAGTCGAACTTTTCTTTTCATAGAGCAGTTTTGAAACACTCTATTTGTAGAATCTGCAGGAGCATATTTGCATATCTTTGAGGATTTCGTTGGAAACGGGATTGTCTTCAGATAAAATCCAGACAGAAGCATTCTCAGAAACTTCTTCGGGATGTTTGCATTCAAGTCACAGAGGAGAACATGCCCTTTCGTAGAGAAGGTTTGAAACACTCTTTTTATAGTATCTGGAAGTGGACATATGGAGCAGTTTCAAGACAATGTTGAAAAAGGAAATATCTTCTCGTAACAACTGGACAGAAGCATTCTCAGAAGCTAGTCTCTGATGTGTGTCCTCAACTAACAGAGTTGAACATTTCTTTGGAGAGTATAGTTTTGAAACACTCTTTTTGTGGAGTCTGCAAGTGGATATTTGGCTGGATTTGAGGATTTCGTTGGAAACGGGATAAGGTATAAAAAGCAGACAGCAGCATTCTCAGCAACTTCTTTGTGATCTTTGCATTCAAGTTACAGAATTGAACATTCCCTTTCACAGAGCAGGTTTGAAACACTCTTTTTGTAGTGTCTGTAACTGGACTTTTGGAGCGCTTTCCGGCCTAAGGTGAAAAAGGACATATCTTCCCATAAAAACTAGACAGAAGCATTGTCAGAAACTTACTCGTGATGTGTGTCCTCAACTGACGGAGTAGAACCTTTCTTTTGATAGAGCAGTTTTGAAACACTCTTTTTGTAGAATCTCCAAGTGGATATTTGGATAGCTTTGAGGATTTCGTTGGAAACGGGAATATCTTCATATAAAACCTAGACAGAAGCATTCTCAGAAACTTCCTTGTGATGGTTGCATTCAAGTCACGGAGTTGAACATTGGCTTTCATACAGTAGGTTGGAAACACTCTTTTTCCATTCCCTGGAAGTGGACATTTGGAGCGCTTTGAGGACTATGGTGAAAAAGGAAATATCTTCCCATAAAAACTAGACAGAAGCATTCTCAGAAACTTCATTGTGATGTGTGTCCTCAACTGACAGAGTTGAACATGTCTTTTGAGAGAGCAGTTTTGAAACACTCTTTCTGTGGAACCTGCAAGTGGATATTTAGCTGGTTTGACGATTTCGTTGGAAACGGGAATACATATAAAAAGCAGACAGCTGCGTTCTGAGAAACTACTTGGTGATGTTTGCATTCAAGTCACAGAATGGAACGTTCCCTTTCACAGAACAGGTTTGAAACACTCCTTTTGTCGTATCTGGAAGTGTCCATTTGGAGCGCATTCAGGCTTGTGTTGGAAAAGGAAATATCTTCCCAAAAAAATCAGACAGAAGCATTCTCGGCAACTTGTTTGTGATGTGTGCCCTCTACTAACAGAGTCGAACTTTTCTTTTCATAGAGCAGTTTTGAAACACTCTTTTTGTAGAATCTGCAGGAGCATATTTGCATATCTTTGAGGATTTCGTTGGAAACGGGATTGTCTTCAGATAAAATCCAGACAGAAGCATTCTCAGAAACTTCTTTGGGATGTTTGCATTGACGTCACAGAGGAGAACATGCCCTTTCGTAGAGAAGGTTTGAAACACTCCCTTTGCAGTATCTGGAAGCGGACATTTGAAGCGGTTTCAGGCCTATTTAGAAAAAGGAAATATCTTCCCGTAACAACTGGACAGAAGCATTCTCAGAAGCTAGTCTCTGATGTGTGTCCTCAACTAACAGAGTTGAACATTTCTTTTGACAGTACAGTTTTGAAACACTCTTTTTGTGGAGTCTGCAAGTGGATATTTGGCTGGATTTGAGGATTTCGTTGGAAACGCGATAAGGTATAAAAAGCAGACAGCAGCATTCTCAGCAATTTCTTTGTGATGTTTGCATTCAAGTCACAGAATTGAACATTCCCTTTCACAGAGCAGGTTTGAAACACTCTTTTTGTAGTGTCTGTAACTGGACTTTTGGAGCGCTTTCCGGCCTAAGGTGAAAAAGGACATATCTTCCCATAAAAACTAGACAGAAGCATTGTCAGAAACTTACTCGTGATGTGTGTCCTCAACTGACGGAGTAGAACCTTTCTTTTGATAGAGCAGTTTTGAAACACTCTTTTTGTAGAATCTCCAAGTGGATATTTGGATAGCTTTGAGGATTTCGTTGGAAACGGGAATATCTTCATATAAAACCTAGACAGAAGTATTATCAGAAACTTCCTTGTGATTGTTGCATTCAAGTCACAGAGTTGAACATTCGCTTTCATAGAGCATGTTTGAAACACTCTTTTTCCATTACCTGGAAGTGGACTTTTGGAGCGCTTTGAGGCCTATGGTGAAAAAGGAAATATCTTCCCAAAAAAACTAGACAGAAGCATTCTCAGAAACTTATTTGTGATGTGTGTCCTCAACTGACAGAGTTGAACATTTCTTTTGAGAGAGCAGTTTTGAAACACTCTTTTTGTGGAATCTGCAAGTGGATATTTGGCTGGCTTTGAGGATTTCGTTGGAAACGGGAATACATATAAAAAGCAGACAGCAGCGTTCTGAGAAACTTCTTGGTGATGTTTGCATTCAAGTCACAGAATTGAACATTCCCTTTGATAGAACAGGTTTGAAACACTCCTTTTCTCATATCTGGAAGTGTCCATTTGGAGCGCATTCAGGCTTGTGTTGAAAAAGGAAATATCTTCCCATAACAACTAGACAGAAGCATTCTCAGAAACTAGTTTCTGATGTGTGTCCTCAACTAACACAGTTGAACATTTCTTTAGACAGAACAGTTTTGAAACACTCTTTTTGTGGAATCTGCAAGTGGATATTTGGCTAGATTTGAGCATTTCGTTGGAAACGGGATTACATATAAAAAGCACACAGCAGCATTCTCAGCAACTTCTTTGTGATGTTTGCATTCAAGTCACAGAATTGAACATTCCCTTTCACAGAGCAGGTTTGAAACACTCTTTTTGTAGTGTCTGTAACTGGACTTTTGGAGCGCTTTCCGGCCTAAGGTGAAAAAGGACATATCTTCCCATAAAAACTAGACAGAAGCATTGTCAGAAACTTACTCGTGATGTGTGTCCTCAACTGACGGAGTAGAACCTTTCTTTTGATAGAGCAGTTTTGAAACACTCTTTTTGTAGAATCTCCAAGTGGATATTTGGATAGCTTTGAGGATTTCGTTGGAAACGGGAATATCTTCATATAAAACCTAGACAGAAGCATTCTCAGAAACTTCCTTGTGATGGTTGCATTCAAGTCACGGAGTTGAACATTGGCTTTCATAGAGCAGGTTGGAAACACTCTTTTTCCATTCCCTGGAAGTGGACATTTGGAGCGCTTTGAGGCCTATGGTGAAAAAGGAAATATCTTCCCATAAAAACTAGACAGAAGCATTCTCAGAAACTTATTTGTGATGTGTGTCCTCAACTGACAGAGTTGAACATTTCTTTTGAGAGAGCAGTTTTGAAACACTCTTTTTGTGGAATCTGCAAGTGGATATTTGGCTGGCTTTGAGGATTTCGTTGGAAACGGGAATACATATAAAAAGCAGACAGCAGCGTTCTGAGAAACTTCTTGGTGATGTTTGCATTCAAGTCACAGAATTGAACATTCCCTTTGATGGAACAGGTTTGAAACACTCTTTTTCTCATATCTGGAAGTGTCCATTCGGAGCGCATTCAGGCTTGTGTTGAAAAAGGATATATCTTCCCATAACAACTAGACAGAAGCATTCTCAGAAACTAGTTTCTGATGTGTGTCGTCAACTAACACAGTTGAACATTTCTTTAGACAGAACAGTTTTGAAACACTCTTTTTGTGGAATTTGCAAGTGGATATTTGGCTAGATTTGAGCATTTCGTTGGAAACGGGATTACATATAAAAAGCAGACAGCAGGGTTCTGAGAAACATCTTTGTGATGTTTGTATTCAGGACACAGAGTTGAACATTCCCTATCATAGAGCAGGTTTGAATCACTCCTTTTGTAGTATCTGGAAGTGGACATTTGGAGCGCTTTCCGGCCTCAGGTGAAAAAGGAAATATCTTCCCATAAAAACTAGACAGAAGCATTGTCAGAAACTTACTCGTGATGTGTGTCCTCAACTGACGGAGTAGAACCTTTCTTTTGATAGAGCAGTTTTGAAACACTCTTTTTGTAGAATCTCCAAGTGGATATTTGGATAGCTTTGAGGATTTCGTTGGAAACGGGAATATCTTCATATAAAACCTAGACAGAAGCATTCTCAGAAACTTCCTTGTGATGGTTGCATTCAAGTCACGGAGTTGAACATTGGCTTTCATACAGTAGGTTGGAAACACTCTTTTTCCATTCCCTGGAAGTGGACATTTGGAGCGCTTTGAGGCCTATGGTGAAAAAGGAAATATCTTCCCATAAAAACTAGACAGAAGCATTCTCAGAAACTTCTTTGTGATGTGTGTCCTCAACTGACAGAGTTGAACATGTCTTTTGAGAGAGCAGTTTTGAAACACTCTTTCTGTGGAACCTGCAAGTGGATATTTGGCTGGCTTTGACGATTTCGTTGGAAACGGGAATACATATAAAAAGCAGACAGCAGCGTTCTGAGAAACTACTTGGTGATGTTTGCATTCAAGTCACAGAATGGAACGTTCCCTTTCACAGAACAGGTTTGAAACACTCCTTTTGTCGTATCTGGAAGTGTCCATTTGGAGCGCATTCAGGCTTGTGTTGGAAAAGGAAATATCTTCCCATAAAAACCAGACAGAAGCATTCTCGGCAACTTGTTTGTGATGTGTGCCCTCTACTAACAGAGTCGAACCTTTCTTTTCATAGAGCAGTTTTGAAACACTCTTTTTGTAGAATCTGCAGGAGCATATTTGCATATCTTTGAGGATTTCGTTGGAAACGGGATTGTCTTCAGATAAAATCCAGACAGAAGCATTCTCAGAAACTTCTTTGGGATGTTTGCATTGACGTCACAGAGGAGAACATGCCCTTTCGTAGAGAAGGTTTGAAACACTCTCTTTGCAGTATCTGGAAGTGGACATTTGAAGCGGTTTCAGGCCTATGTTGAAAAAGGAAATATCTTCCCGTAACAACTGGACAGAAGCATTCTCAGAAGCTAGTCTCTGATGTGTGTCCTCAACTAACAGAGTTGAACATTTCTTTGGAGAGTATAGTTTTGAAACACTCTTTTTGTGGAGTCTGCAAGTGGATATTTGGCTGGATTTGAGGATTTCGTTGGAAACGGGATAAGGTACAAAAAGCAGACAGCAGCATTCTCAGCAACTTCTTTGTGATCTTTGCATTCAAGTTACAGAATTGAACATTCCCTTTCACAGAGCAGGTTTGAAACACTCTTTTTGTAGTGTCTGTAACTGGACTTTTGGAGCGCTTTCCGGCCTAAGGTGAAAAAGGACATATCTTCCCATAAAAACTAGACAGAAGCATTCTCAGAAACTTACTCGTGATGTGTGTCCTCAACTAAAGGGGTAGAACCTTTCTTTTGATAGAGCAGTTTTGAAACACTCTTTTTGTAGAATCTGCAAGTGGATATTTTGATAGCTTTGTGGATTTCCTTGGAAACGGGAATATCTTCGTATAAAATCTAGAGAGAAGTATTATCAGAAACTTCCTTGTGATGGTTGCATTCAAGTCACAGAGTTGAACATTCGCTTTCATAGAGCATGTTTGAAACACTCTTTTTCCATTACCTGGAAGTGGACATTTGGAGCGCTTTGAGGCCTATGGTGAAAAAGGAAATATCTTCCCAAAAAAACTAGACAGAAGCGTTCTCAGAAACTTATTTGTGATGTGTGTCCTCAACTGACATTGTTGAACATTTCTTTTGAGCGAGCAGTTTTGAAACACTCTTTTTGTGGAATCTGCAAGTGGATATTTGGCTGGCTTTGACGATTTTGTTGGAAACGGGAATACATATAAAACGCAGACAGCAGCGTTCTGAGAAACTACTTGGTGATGTTTGCATTCAAGTCACAGAACGGGAACGTTCCCTTTCACAGAACAGGTTTGAAACTCTCCTTTTGTCGTATCTGGAAGTGTCCATTTGGATCGCATTCAGGCTTGTGTTGAAAAAGGAAATATCTTCCCATAAAAACTAGACAGAAGCCTTCTCGGCAACTTGTTTGTGATGTGTGCCCTCTACTAACAGAGTCGAACCTTTCTATTCATAGAGCAGTTTTGAAACACTCTTTTTGTAGAATCTGCAGGAGCATATTTGCATAGCTTTGAGGATTTCGTTGGAAACGGGATTGTCTTCAGATAAAATCCAGACAGAAGCATTCTCAGAAACTTCTTTGGGATGTTTGCATTGACGTCACTGAGGAGAACATGCCCTTTCGTAGAGAAGGTTTGAAACACTCTCTTTGCAGTATCTGGAAGTGGACATTTGAAGCGGTTTCAGGCCTATGTTGAAAAAGGAAATATCTTCCCGTAACAACTGGACAGAAGCATTCTCAGAAGCTAGTCTCTGATGTGTGTCCTCAACTAACAGAGTTGAACATTTCTTTGGAGAGTATAGTTTTGAAACACTCTTTTTGTGGAGTCTGCAAGTGGATATTTGGCTGGATTTGAGGATTTCGTTGGAAACGGGATAAGGTACAAAAAGCAGACAGCAGCATTCTCAGCAACTTCTTTGTGATCTTTGCATTCAAGTTACAGAATTGAACATTCCCTTTCACAGAGCAGGTTTGAAACAATCTTTTTGTAGTGTCTGTAACTGGACTTTTGGAGCGCTTTCCGGCCTAAGGTGAAAAAGGACATATCTTCCCATAAAAACTAGACAGAAGCATTGTCAGAAACTTACTCGTGATGTGTGTCCTCAACAGACGGAGTAGAACCTTTCTTTTGATAGAGCAGTTTTGAAACACTCTTTTTGTAGAATCTCCAAGTGGATATTTGGATAGCTTTGAGGATTTCGTTGGAAACGGGAATATCTTCATATAAAACCTAGACAGAAGTATTATCAGAAACTTCCTTGTGATGGTTGCATTCAAGTCACAGAGTTGAACATTCGCTTTCATAGAGCATGTTTGAAACACTCTTTTTCCATTACCTGGAAGTGGACATTTGGAGCGCTTTGAGGCCTATGGTGAAAAAGGAAATATCTTCCCAAAGAAACTAGACAGAAGCATTCTCAGAAACTTATTTGTGATGTGTGTCCTCAACTGACAGAGTTGAACATTTCTTTTGAGAGAGCAGTTTTGAAACATTCTTTTTGTGGAATCTGCAAGTGGATATTTGGCTGGCTTTGAGGATTTCGTTGGAAACGGGAATACATATAAAAAGCAGACAGCAGCATTCTCAGAAACTTCCTTGGGATGTTTGCATACAAGTCACAGAGGAGAACATGCCCTTTCGTAGAGAAGGTTTGAAACATTCTCTTTGTAGTATCTGGAAGTGGACATTTGGAGCAGTTTCAGGCCTAAGTTGAAAAAGGAAATATCTTCCCTTAAAAACTGGACAGAAGCATTCTCAGAAGATAGTCTCTAATGTGTGTCCTCAACTAACAGAGTTGAAGATTTCTGTAGACAGAAAAGTTTTGAAACACTCTTTTTGTGGAGTCTGCAAGTGGATATTTGGCTAGATTTTTAGGATTTCTTTGGAAACGGGATTACATATAAAAAGCCGACAGCAGCATTCTCAGAAACTTCTTTGTGATGTTTGCATTCAAGTCACAGAATTAAACATTCCCTTTCACAGAGCAGGTTTGAAACACTCTATTTGAAGTGTCTGTAAGTGGACATTTGGAGCGCTTTACGGCCTATGGTGAAAAAGGACATATCTTCCCATAAAAACCAGACAGAAGCATTCTCAGAAACTTACTCGTGATGTGTGTCCTCAACTAACGGAGTAGAACCTTTCTTTTGATAGAGCAGTTTTGAAACACTCTTTTTGTAGAATCTGCAAGTGGATATTTGGATAGCTTTGAGGATTTCGTTGGAAACGGAAATATCTTCATATAAAATCAAGACAGAAGCATTCTCAGAAACTTCCTTGTGATGGTTGCATTCAAGTCACGGAGTTGAACATTCGCTTTCATAGAGCAGGATGGAAACACTCTTTTTGCATTCCCTGGAAGTGGACATTTGGAGCGCTTCGAGGCCTATGGTGAAAAAGGAAATATTTTCCCCTCAAAACTAGACAGAAGCATTCTCAGAAACTTATTTGTGATGTGTGTCCTCACCTGACAGAGTTGAACATTTCTTTTGAGAGAGCAGTTTTGAAACACTCTTTTTGTGGAATCTGCAAGTGGATATTTGGCTGGCTTTGACGACTTCGTTGGAAACGGGAATACATATAAAAAGCAGACAGCAGCGTTCTGAGAAACTTCTTGGTGATGTTTGCATTCAAGTCACTGAATGGAAAGTTCCCTTTCATAGAACAGGTTTGAAACTCTCCTTTTGTCGTAACTGGAAGTGTCCATTTCGAGCGCATTCAGGCTTGTGTTGAAAAAGGAAATATCTTCCCATAAAAACTAGACAGAAGCATTCTCAGCAACTTGTTTGTGATGTGTGCCCTCTACTAACAGAGTTGAACCTTTCTTTTCATAGAGCAGTTTTGAAACACTCTTTTTGTAGAATCTGCAGGAGGATATTTGCATAGCTTTGAGGATTTCGTTGGAAATGGGATTGTCTTCAGATAAAATCCAGACAGAAGCATTCTCAGAAACTTCTTTGGGATGTTTGCATTGACGTCACAGAGGAGAACATGCCCTTTCGTAGAGAAGGTTTGAAACACTCTCTTTGCAGTATCTGGAAGTGGACATTTGAAGTGGTTTCAGGCCTATGTTGAAAAAGGAAATATCTTCCCGTAACAACTGGACAGAAGCATTCTCAGAAGCTAGTCTCTGATGTGTGTCCTCAACTAACAGAGTTGAACATTTCTTTGGAGAGTATAGTTTTGAAACACTCTTTTTGTGGAGTCTGCAAGTGGATATTTGGCTGGATTTGAGGATTTCGTTGGAAACGCGATAAGGTATAAAAAGCAGACAGCAGCATTCTCAGCAACTTCTTTGTGATGTTTGCATTCAAGTCACAGAATTGAACATTCCCTTTCACAGAGCAGGTTTGAAACACTCTTTTTGTAGTGTCTGTAACTGGACTTTTGGAGCGCTTTCCGGCCTAAGGTGAAAAAGGACATATCTTCCCATAAAAACTAGACAGAGGCATTCTCAGCAACTTGTTTGTGATGTGTGTCCTCAACCAACGGAGTAGAATCTTTCTTTTGATAGAGCAGTTTTGAAACACTCTTTTTGTAGAATCTGCAAGTGGATATTTGGATAGCTTTGAGGATTTCGTTGGAAACGGGAATATCTTCATATAAAATCTAGACAGAAGCATTCTCAGAAACTTCCTTGTGATGGTTGCATTCAAGTCACGGAGTTGAACATTGGCTTTCATAGAGCAGGTTGGAAACACTCTTTTTCCATTCCCTGGAAGTGGACATTTGGAGCGCTTTGAGGCCTATGGTGAAAAAGGAAACATCTTCCCATAAAAACTAGACAGAAGCATTCTCAGAAACTTCTTTGTGATGTGTGTCCTCAACTGACAGAGTTGAACATGTCTTTTGAGAGAGCAGTTCTGAAACACTCTTTCTGTGGAACCTGCAAGTGGATATTTGGCTGGCTTTGACGATTTCGTTGGAAACGGGAATACATATAAAAAGCAGACAGCAGCGTTCTGAGAAACTTCTTGGTGATGTTTGCATTCAAGTCACAGAATTGAACATTCCCTTTGATAGAACAGGTTTGAAACACTCCTTTTCTCATATCTGGAAGTGTCCATTCGGAGCGCATTCAGGCTTGTGTTGAAAAAGGATATATCTTCCCATAACAACTAGACAGAAGCATTCTCAGAAACTAGTTTCTGATGTGTGTCCTCAACTAACACAGTTGAACATTTCTTTAGACAGAACAGTTTTGAAACACTCTTTTTGTGGAATTTGCAAGTGGATATTTGGCTAGATTTGAGCATTTCGTTGGAAACGGGATTACATATAAAAAGCAGACAGCAGCATTCTCAGCAACTTCTTTGTGATGTTTGCATTCAAGTCACAGAATTGAACATTCCCTTTCACAGAGCAGGTTTGAAACACTCTTTTTGTAGTGTCTGTAACTGGACTTTTGGAGCGCTTTCCGGCCTAAGGTGAAAAAGGACATATCTTCCCATAAAAACTAGACAGAAGCATTGTCAGAAACTTATTCGTGATGTGTGTCCTCAACTGACGGAGTAGAACCTTTCTTTTGATAGAACAGTTTTGAAACACTCTTTTTGTAGAATCTCCAAGTGGATATTTGGATAGCTTTGAGGATTTCGTTGGAAACGGGAATATCTTCATATAAAATCTAGACAGAAGCATTCTCAGAAACTTCCTTGTGATGGTTGCATTCAAGTCACAGAGTTGAACATTCGCTTTCATAGAGCAGGTTTGAAACACTCTTTTTCCATTACCTGGAAGGGGACATTTGGAGCGCTTTGAGGCCTATGGTGAAAAAGGAAATATCTTCCCATAAAAACTAGACAGAAGCATTCTCAGAAACTTATTTGTGATGTGTGTCCTCAACTGACAGAGTTGAACATTTCTTTTGAGAGAGCAGTTTTGAAACACTCTTTTTGTGGAATCTGCAAGTGGATATTTGGCTGGCTTTGAGGATTTCGTTGGAAACGGGAATACATATAAAAAGCAGACAGCAGCGTTCTGAGAAACTTCTTGGTGATGTTTGCATTCAAGTCACAGAATTGAACATTCCCTTTAATAGAACAGGTTTGAAACACTCCTTTTGTCATATCTGGAAGTGTCCATTTGGAGCGCATTCAGGCTTGTGTTGAAAAAGGAAATATCTTCCCATAACAACTAGACAGAAGCCTTCTCGGCAACTTGTTTGTGATGTGTGCCCTCTACTAACAGAGTCGAACCTTTCTATTCATAGAGCAGTTTTGAAACACTCTTTTTGTAGAATCTGCAGGAGCATATTTGGATAGCTTTGAGGATTTCGTTGGAAACGGGATTGTCTTCAGATAAAATCCAGACAGAAGCATTCTCAGAAACTTCTTTGGGATGTTTGCATTGACGTCACTGAGGAGAACATGCCCTTTCGTAGAGAAGGTTTGAAACACTCTCTTTGCAGTATCTGGAAGTGGACATTTGAAGCGGTTTCAGGCCTATGTTGAAAAAGGAAATATCTTCCCGTAACAACTGGACAGAAGCATTCTCAGTAAGATAGTCTCTAATGTGTGTCCTCAACTAACAGAGTTGAAGATTTCTGTAGACAGAAAAGTTTTGAAACACTCTTTTTGTGGAGTCTGCAAGTGGATATTTGGCTAGATTTTTAGGATTTCTTTGGAAACGGGATTACATATAAAAAGCCGACAGCAGCATTCTCAGCAACTTCTTTGTGATGTTTGCATTCAAGTCACAGAATTGAACATTCCCTTTCACAGAGCAGGTTTGAAACACTCTTTTTGTAGTGTCTGTAACTGGACTTTTGGAGCGCTTTCCGGCCTAAGGTGAAAAAGGACATATCTTCCCATAAAAACTAGACAGAAGCATTCTCAGAAACTTACTCGTGATGTGTGTCCTCAACTAAAGGGGTAGAACCTTTCTTTTGATAGAGCAGTTTTGAAACACTCTTTTTGTAGAATCTGCAAGTGGATATTTCGATAGCTTTGTGGATTTCGTTGGAAACGGGAATATCTTCATATAAAATCTAGAGAGAAGCATTCTCAGAAACTTCCTTGTGATGGTTGCATTCAAGTCACGGAGTTGAACATTGGCTTTCATAGAGCAGGTTGGAAACACTCTTTTTCCATTCCCTGGAAGTGGACATTTGGAGCGCTTTGAGGCCTATGGTGAAAAAGGAAATATCTTCCCATAAAAACTAGACAGAAGCATTCTCAGAAACTTATTTGTGATGTGTGTCCTCAACTGACAGAGTTGAACATTTCTTTTGAGAGAGCAGTTTTGAAACACTCTTTTTGTGGAATCTGCAAGTGGATATTTGGCTGGCTTTGAGGATTTCGTTGGAAACGGGAATACATATAAAAAGCAGACAGCAGCGTTCTGAGAAACTACTTGGTGATGTTTGCATTCAAGTCACAGAATGGAACGTTCCCTTTCACAGAACAGGTTTGAAACACTCCTTTTGTCGTATCTGGAAGTGTCCATTTGGAGCGCATTCAGGCTTGTGTTGGAAAAGGAAATATCTTCCCATAAAAACCAGACAGAAACATTCTCGGCAACTTGTTTGTGATGTGTGCCCTCTACTAACAGAGTCGAACCTTTCTTTTCATAGAGCAGTTTTGAAACACTCTTTTTGTAGAATCTGCAGGAGCATATTTGCATATCTTTGAGGATTTCGTTGGAAACGGGATTGTCCTCAGATAAAATCCAGACAGAAGCATTCTCAGAAACTTCTTTGGGATGTTTGCATTGACGTCACTGAGGAGAACATGCCCTTTCGTAGAGAAGGTTTGAAACACTCTCTTTGCAGTATCTGGAAGTGGACATTTGAAGCGGTTTCAGGCCTATGTTGAAAAAGGAAATATCTTCCCGTAACAACTGGACAGAAGCATTCTCAGAAGCTAGTCTCTGATGTGTGTCCTCAACTAACAGAGTTGAACATTTCTTTGGAGAGTATAGTTTTGAAACACTCTTTTTGTGGAGTCTGCAAGTGGATATTTGGCTGGATTTGAGGATTTCGTTGGAAACGCGATAAGGTATAAAAAGCAGACAGCAGCATTCTCAGCAACTTCTTTGTGATCTTTGCATTCAAGTTACAGAATTGAACATTCCCTTTCACAGAGCAGGTTTGAAACACTCTTTTTGTAGTGTCTGTAACTGGACTTTTGGAGCGCTTTCCGGCCTAAGGTGAAAAAGGACATATCTTCCCATAAAAACTAGACAGAAGCATTCTCAGAAACTTACTCGTGATGTGTGTCCTCAACTAAAGGGGTAGAACCTTTCTTTTGATAGAGCAGTTTTGAAACACTCTTTTTGTAGAATCTGCAAGTGGATATTTCGATAGCTTTGTGGATTTCGTTGGAAACGGGAATATCTTCATATAAAATCTAGAGAGAAGTATTATCAGAAACTTCCTTGTGATGGTTGTATTCAAGTCACAGAGTTGAACATTCGCTTTCATAGAGCATGTTTGAAACACTCTTTTTCCATTACCTGGAACTGGACATTTGGAGCGCTTTGAGGCCTATGGTGAAAAAGGAAATATCTTCCCAAAAAAACTAGACAGAAGCATTCTCAGAAACTTCTTTGTGATGTGTGTCCTCAACTGACAGAGTTGAACATGTCTTTTGAGAGAGCAGTTTTGAAACACTCTTTCTGTGGAACCTGCAAGTGGATATTTGGCTGGCTTTGACGATTTCGTTGGAAACGGGAATACATATAAAAAGCAGACAGCTGCGTTCTGAGAAACTACTTGGTGATGTTTGCATTCAAGTCACAGAATGGAACGTTCCCTTTCACAGAACAGGTTTGAAACACTCCTTTTGTCGTATCTGGAAGTGTCCATTTGGAGCGCATTCAGGCTTGTGTTGGAAAAGGAAATATCTTCCCAAAAAAATCAGACAGAAGCATTCTCGGCAACTTGTTTGTGATGTGTGCCCTCTACTAACAGAGTCGAACTTTTCTTTTCATAGAGCAGTTTTGAAACACTCTTTTTGTAGAATCTGCAGGAGCATATTTGCATATCTTTGAGGATTTCGTTGGAAACGGGATTGTCTTCAGATAAAATCCAGACAGAAGCATTCTCAGAAACTTCTTTGGGATGTTTGCATTGACGTCACAGAGGAGAACATGCCCTTTCGTAGAGAAGGTTTGAAACACTCTCTTTGCAGTATCTGGAAGTGGACATTTGAAGTGGTTTCAGGCCTATGTTGAAAAAGGAAATATCTTCCCGTAACAACTGGACAGAAGAATTCTCAGAAGCTAGTCTCTCATGTGTGTCCTCAACTAACAGAGTTGAACATTTCTTTTGACAGTACAGTTTTGAAACACTCTTTTTGTGGAGTCTGCAAGTGGATATTTGGCTGGATTTGAGGATTTCGTTGGAAACGGGATAAGGTATAAAAAGCAGACAGCAGCATTCTCAGCAACTTCTTTGTGATGTTTGCATTCAAGTCACAGAATTGAACATTCCCTTTCACAGAGCAGGTTTGAAACACTCTTTTTGTAGTGTCTGTAACTGGACTTTTGGAGCGCTTTCCGGCCTAAGGTGAAAAAGGACATATCTTCCCATAAAAACTAGACAGAAGCATTGTCAGAAACTTACTCGTGATGTGTGTCCTCAACTGACGGAGTAGAACCTTTCTTTTGATAGAGCAGTTTTGAAACACTCTTTTTGTAGAATCTCCAAGTGGATATTTGGATAGCTTTGAGGATTTCGTTGGAAACGGGAATATCTTCATATAAAACCTAGACAGAAGTATTATCAGAAACTTCCTTGTGATGGTTGCATTCAAGTCACAGAGTTGAACATTCGCTTTCATAGAGCATGTTTGAAACACTCTTTTTCCATTACCTGGAAGTGGACTTTTGGAGCGCTTTGAGGCCTATGGTGAAAAAGGAAATATCTTCCCAAAAAAACTAGACAGAAGCATTCTCAGAAACTTATTTGTGATGTGTGTCCTCAACTGACAGAGTTGAACATGTCTTTTGAGAGAGCAGTTTTGAAACACTCTTTCTGTGGAACCTGCAAGTGGATATTTGGCTGGCTTTGACGATTTCGTTGGAAACGGGAATACATATTAAAAGCAGTCAGCAGCGTTCTGAGAAACTACTTGGTGATGTTTGCATTCAAGTCACAGAATGGAACGTTCCCTTTCACAGAACAGGTTTGAAACACTCCTTTTGTCGTATCTCGAAGTGTCCATTTGGAGCGCATTCAGGCTTGTGTTGGAAAAGGAAATATCTTCCCATAAAAACCAGACAGAAGCATTCTCGGCAACTTGTTTGTGATGTGTGCCCTCTACTAACAGAGTCGAACTTTTCTTTTCATAGAGCAGTTTTGAAACACTCTTTTTGTAGAATCTGCAGGAGCATATTTGCATATCTTTGAGGATTTCGTTGGAAACGGGATTGTCTTCAGATAAAATCCAGACAGAAGCATTCTCAGAAACTTCTTTGAGATGTTTGCATTGACGTCACTGAGGAGAACATGCCCTTTCGTAGAGAAGGTTTGAAACACTCTCTTTGCAGTATCTGGAAGTGGACATTTGAAGCGGTTTCAGGCCTATGTTGAAAAAGGAAATATCTTCCCGTAACAACTGGACAGAAGCATTCTCAGAAGCTAGTCTCTGATGTGTGTCCTCAACTAACAGAGTTGAACATTTCTTTGGAGAGTATAGTTTTGAAACACTCTTTTTGTGGAGTCTGCAAGTGGATATTTGGCTGGATTTGAGGATTTCGTTGGAAACGCGATAAGGTATAAAAAGCAGACAGCAGCATTCTCAGCAATTTCTTTGTGATGTTTGCATTCAAGTCACAGAATTGAACATTCCCTTTCACAGAGCAGGTTTGAAACACTCTTTTTGTAGTGTCTGTAACTGGACTTTTGGAGCGCTTTCCGGCCTAAGGTGAAAAAGGACATATCTTCCCATAAAAACTAGACAGAAGCATTGTCAGAAACTTACTCGTGATGTGTGTCCTCAACTGACGGAGTAGAACCTTTCTTTTGATAGAGCAGTTTTGAAACACTCTTTTTGTAGAATCTCCAAGTGGATATTTGGATAGCTTTGAGGATTTCGTTGGAATCGGGAATATCTTCATATAAAACCTAGACAGAAGCATTCTCAGAAACTTCCTTGAGATGGTTGCATTCAAGTCACGGAGTTGAACATTGGCTTTCATAGAGCAGGTTGGAAACACTCTTTTTCCATTCCCTGGAAGTGGACATTTGGAGCACTTTGAGGCCTATGGTGAAAAAGGAAATATCTTCCCATAAAAACTAGACAGAAGCATTCTCAGAAATTTATTTGTGATGTGTGTCCTCAACTGACAGAGTTGAACGTTTCTTTTGAGAGAGCAGTTTTGAAACACTCTTTTTGTGCAATCTGCAAGTCGATATTTGGCTGGCTTTGACGAATTCGTTGGAAACGGGAATACATGTAAAAAGCAGACAGCAGCGTTCTCAGAAACTTCTTGGTGATGTTTTCATTCAAGTCACAGAATGGAACGTTCCCTTTCATAGAACAGGTTTGCAACTCTCCTTTTGTCGTAACTGGAAGTGTCCATTTGTATGGCATTCAGGCTTGTGTTGAAAAAGGAAATATCTTCCCATAAAAACTAGACAGAAGCATTCTCGGCAACTTGTTTGTGATGTGTGCCCTCTACTAACAGAGTCGAACCTTTCTATTCATAGAACAGTTTGGAAACACTCTTTTTGTAGAATCTGCAGGAGCATATTTGCATATCTTTGAGGATTTCGTTGGAAACGGGATTGTCTTCAGATAAAATCCAGACAGAAGCATTCTCAGAAACTTCTTTGGGATGTTTGCATTGACGTCACAGAGGAGAACATGCCCTTTCGTAGAGAAGGTTTGAAACACTCCCTTTGCAGTATCTGGAAGCGGACATTTGAAGCGGTTTCAGGCCTATTTAGAAAAAGGAAATATCTTCCCGTAACAACTGGACAGAAGCATTCTCAGAAGCTAGTCTCTGATGTGTGTCCTCAACTAACAGAGTTGAACATTTCTTTTGACAGTACAGTTTTGAAACACTCTTTTTGTGGAGTCTGCAAGTGGATATTTGGCTGGATTTGAGGATTTCGTTGGAAACGGGATAAGGTATAAAAAGCAGACAGCAGCATTCTCAGCAATTTCTTTGTGATGTTTGCATTCAAGTCACAGAATTTAACATTCCCTTTCACAGAGCAGGTTTGAAACACTCTTTTTGTAGTGTCTGTAACTGGACTTTTGGAGCGCTTTCCGGCCTAAGGTGAAAAAGGACATATCTTCCCATAAAAACTAGACAGAAGCATTCTCAGAAACTTACTCGTGATGTGTGTCCTCAACTAAAGGGGTAAAACCTTTCTTTTGATAGAGCAGTTTTGAAACACTCTTTTTGTAGAATCTGCAAGTGGATATTTCGATAGCTTTGTGGATTTCGTTGGAAACGGGAATATCTTCATATAAAATCTAGAGAGAAGCATTCTCAGAAACTTCCTTGTGATGGTTGCATTCAAGTCACTGAGTTGAACATTCGCTTTCATAGAGGAGGTTGGAAACACTCTTTTTCCTTTCCCTGGAAGTGGACATTTGGAGCGCTTGGAGGCCTATGGTGAAAAAGGGAGTGTCTTCCCATCAAAACTAGATAGAAGCGTTCTCAGAAACTTATTTGTGATGTGTGTCCTCAACTGACATTGTTGAACATTTCTTTTGAGCGAGCAGTTTTGAAACACTCTTTTTGTGGAATCTGCAAGTGGATATTTGGCTGGCTTTGACGATTTTGTTGGAAACGGGAATACATATAAAAAGCAGATAGCAGCGTTCTCAGAAACTTCTTGGTGATGTTTGCATTGAAGTCATAGAATGAAGCGTCCCCTTTCATAGAACAGGTTTGAAACACTCCTTTTGTCGTATCTGGAAGTGTCCATTTTGAGCGAATTCAAGATTGTGTTGAAAAAGGAAATATTTTCCCACAAAAACTAGACAGAAGCCTTCTCGGCAACTTGTTTGTGATGTGTGCCCTCTACTAACAGAGTCGAACCTTTCTATTCATAGAGCAGTTTTGAAACACTCCTTTTGTAGAATCTGAAGGAGCATATTTGCATATCTTTGAGGATTTCTTTGGAAACGGGATTGTCTTCAGATAAAATCCAGACAGAAGCATTCTCAGAAACTTCTTTGGGATGTTTGCATTGACGTCACTGAGGAGAACATGCCCTTTCGTAGAGAAGGTTTGAAACACTCTCTTTGCAGTATCTGGAAGTGGACATTTGAAGCGGTTTCAGGCCTATGTTGAAAAAGGAAATATCTTCCCGTAACAACTGGACAGAAGCATTCTCAGAAGCTAGTCTCTGATGTGTGTCCTCAACTAACAGAGTTGAACATTTCTTTGGAGAGTATAGTTTTGAAACACTCTTTTTGTGGAGTCTGCAAGTGGATATTTGGCTGGATTTGAGGATTTCGTTGGAAACGGGATAAGGTATAAAAAGCAGACAGCAGCATTCTCAGCAATTTCTTTGTGATGTTTGCATTCAAGTCACAGAATTGAACATTCCCTTTCACAGAGCAGGTTTGAAACACTCTTTTTGTAGTGTCTGTAACTGGACTTTTGGAGCGCTTTCCGGCCTAAGGTGAAAAAGGACATATCTTCCCATAAAAACTAGACAGAAGCATTCTCAGAAACTTACTCGTGATGTGTGTCCTCAACTAACGGAATAGAACCTTTCTTTTAATAGAGCAGTTTTGAAACAATCTTTTTGTAGAATCTGCATGTGGATATTTGGATAGCTTTGAGGATTTCATTGGAAACGGGAATATCTTCATATAAAATCTAGACAGAAGCATTCTCAGAAACTTCCTTGTGATGGTTGCATTCAAGTCACCGGAGTTGAACATTGGCTTTCATAGAGCAGGTTGGAAACACTCTTTTTCCATTCCCTGGAAGTGGACATTTGGAGCGCTTTGAGGCCTATGGTGAAAAAGGAAATATCTTCCCATAAAAACTAGACAGAAGCATTCTCAGAAACTTATTTGTGATGTGTGTCCTCACCTGACAGAGTTGAACATTTCTTTTGAGAGAGCAGTTTTGAAACACTCTTTTTGTGGAATCTGCAAGTGGATATTTGGCTGGCTTTGACGACTTCGTTGGAAACGGGAATACATATAAAAAGCAGACAGCAGCGTTCTGAGAAACTACTTGGTGATGTTTGCATTCAAGTCACAGAATGGAACGTTCCCTTTCACAGAACAGGTTTGAAACACTCCTTTTGTCGTATCTGGAAGTGTCCATTTGGAGCGCATTCAGGCTTGTGTTGGAAAAGGAAATATCTTCCCATAAAAACCAGACAGAAGCCTTCTTGGCAACTTGTTTGTGATGTGTGCCCTCTACTAACAGAGTCGAACATTTCTATTCATAGAGCAGTTTTGAAACACTCTTTTTGTAGAATCTGCAGGAGCATATTTGCATATCTTTGAGGATTTCGTTGGAAACGGGATTGTCTTCAGATAAAATCCAGACAGAAGCATTCTCAGAAACTTCTTTGGGATGTTTGCATTCAAGTCACAGAGGAGAACATGCCCTTTCGTAGAGAAGGTTTGAAACACTCTTTTTGTAGTATGTGGAAGTGGACATTTGGAGCGGTTTCAGGCGTATGTTGAAAAAGGAAATATCTTCCCGTAACAAGTGGAGAGAAGCATTCTCAGAAGCTAGTCTCTGATGTGTGTCCTCAACTAACAGAGTTGAACATTTCTTTGGAGAGTATAGTTTTGAAACACTCTTTTTGTGGAGTCTGCAAGTGGATATTTGGCTGGATTTGAGGATTTCGTTGGAAACGGGATAAGGTATAAAAAGCAGACAGCAGCATTCTCAGAAACTTCCTTGTGATGATTGCATTCAAGTCACGGAGTTGAACATTTGCTTTCATAGAGCAGGTTGGAAACAATCCTTTTCCATTCCCTGGAAGTGGACGTTTGGAGCGCTTCAAGGCCTATGGTGAAAAAGGAAATATCTTCCAATAAAAACTAGACAGAAGCATTCTCAGAAACTTATTTGTGATGTGTGCCCTGAACTAACGAAGTAGAACCTTTCTTTTGATAGAGCAGTTTTGAAACACTCTTTTTGTAAAATCTGCAAGTGGATATTTGCATAGCTTTGAGGATTTCATTGGAAACGGGAATATCTTCATATAAAATCTAGACAGAAGCATTCTCAGAAACTTCCTTGTGATGGTTGCATTCAAATCACGGAGTTGAAAATTCGCTTTCATAGAGCAGGTTGGAAACACTCTTTTTCCATTCCCTGGAAGTGGACATTTGGAGCGCTTCGAGGCCTATGGTGAAAAAGGAAATATCTTCCCATCAAAACTAGACAGAAGCATTCTCAGAAACTTCTTTGGGATGTGTGTCCTCAACTGACACAGTTGAATATTTCTTTTGAGAGAGCAGTTTTGAAACTCTCTTTTTGTGGAATCTGCAAGTGGATATTTTGCTGGCTTTGACGATTTCGTTGGAAACGGGAATACATATAAAAAGCAGACAGCAGCGTTCTGAGAAACTACTTGGTGATGTTTGCATTCAAGTCACAGAATGGAACGTTCCCTTTCACAGAACAGGTTTGAAACACTCCTTTTGTCGTATCTGGAAGTGTCCATTTGGAGCGCATTCAGGCTTGTGTTGGAAAAGGAAATATCTTCCCATAAAAACCAGACAGAAGCATTCTCGGCAACTTGTTTGTGATGTTTGCCCTCTACTAACAGGGTCGTACCTTTCTTTTCCTAGAGCAGTTTTGAAACACTCTTTTTGTAGAATCTGCAGGAGCATATTTGCATAGCTTTGAGGATTTCGTTCGAAACGGGATTGTCTTCAGATAAAATCCAGACAGAAGCATTCTCAGAAACTTCTTTGGGATGTTTGCATTGACGTCACAGAGGAGAACATGCCCTTTCGTAGAGAAGGTTTGAAACACTCTCTTTGCAGTATCTGGAAGTGGACATTTGAAGCGGTTTCAGGCCTATGTTGAAAAAGGAAATATCTTCCCGTAACAACTGGACAGAAGCATTCTCAGAAGCTAGTCTCTGAAGTGTGTTCTCAACTAACAGAGTTGAACATTTCTTTGGACAGTACAGTTTTGAAACACTCTTTTTGTGGAGACTGCAAGTGGATACTTGGCTAGATTTGAGGATTTCGTTGGAAACGGGATAAGGTATCAAAAGCAGACAGCAGCATTCTCAGCAACTTCTTTGTGATGTTTGCATTCAAGTCACAGAATTGAACATTCCCTTTCACAGAGCAGGTCTGAAACACTCTTTTTGTAGTGTCTGTAACTGGACTTTTGGGGCGCTTTCCGGACTAAGGTGAAAAAGGACCTATCTTCCCATAAAAACTACACAGAAGCATTGTCAGAAACTTATTCGTGATGTGTGTCCTCAACTGACGGAGTAGAACCTTTCTTTTGATAGAGCAGTTTTGAAACACTCTTTTTGTAGAATCTCCAAGTGGATATTTGGATAGCTTTGAGGATTTCGTTGGAAACGGGAATATCTTCATATAAAATCTAGACAGAAGCATTCTCAGAAACTTCCTTGTGATGGTTGCATTCAAGTCACGGAGTTGAACATTGGCTTTCATAGAGCAGGTTGGAAACACTCTTTTTCCATTCCCTGGAAGTGGACATTTGGAGCGCTTTGAGGCCTATGGTGAAAAAGGAAATATCTTCCCATAAAAACTAGACAGAAGCATTCTCAGAAACTTATTTGTGATGTGTGTCCTCAACTGACAGAGTTGAACATTTCTTTTGAGAGAGCAGTTTTGAAACACTCTTTTTGTGGAATCTGCAAGTGGATATTTGGCTGGCTTTGAGGATTTCGTTGGAAACGGGAATACATATAAAAAGCAGACAGCAGCGTTCTGAGAAACTACTTGGTGATGTTTGCATTCAAGTCACAGAATGGAACGTTCCCTTTCACAGAACAGGTTTGAAACACTCCTTTTGTCGTATCTGGAAGTGTCCATTTGGAGCGCATTCAGGCTTGTGTTGGAAAAGGAAATATCTTCCCATAAAAACCAGACAGAAACATTCTCGGCAACTTGTTTGTGATGTGTGCCCTCTACTAACAGAGTCGAACCTTTCTTTTCATAGAGCAGTTTTGAAACACTCTTTTTGTAGAATCTGCAGGAGCATATTTGCATATCTTTGAGGATTTCGTTGGAAACGGGATTGTCCTCAGATAAAATCCAGACAGAAGCATTCTCAGAAACTTCTTTGGGATGTTTGCATTGACGTCACAGAGGAGAACATGCCCTTTCGTAGAGAAGGTTTGAAACACTCTCTTTGCAGTATCTGGAAGTGGAAATTTGAAGCGGTTTCAGGCCTATGTTGAAAAAGGAAATATCTTCCCGTAACAACTGGACAGAAGCATTCTCAGAAGCTAGTCTCTGATGTGTGTCCTCAACTAACAGAGTTGAACATTTCTTTTGACAGAAAAGTTTTGAAACACTCTTTTTGAGGAGTCTGCAAGAGGATATTTGTCTAGATTTGAGGATATCGTTGGAAACGGGTTTACGTGTAAAAAGCAGACAGCAGCATTCTCAGAAACTTCTTTGTGATGTTTGCATTCAAGTCACAGAATTGAACATTCTCTTTCACAGAGCAGCTTTGAAACACTCTTTTTGTAGTGTCTGTAACTGGACTTTTGGAGCGCTTTCCGGACTAAGGTGAAAAAGGACATATCTTCCCATAAAAACTAGACAGAAGCATTGTCAGAAACTTACTCGTGATGTGTGTCCTCAACTGACGGAGTAGAACCTTTCTTTTGATAGAGCAGTTTTGAAACACTCTTTTTGTAGAATCTCCAAGTGGATATTTGGATAGCTTTGAGGATTTCGTTGGAAACGGGAATATCTTCATATAAAACCTAGACAGAAGCATTCTCAGAAACTTTCCTTGTGATGGTTGCATTCAAGTCACGGAGTTGAACATTGGCTTTCATACAGTAGGTTGGAAACACTCTTTTTCCATTCCCTGGAAGTGGACATTTGGAGCGCTTTGAGGACTATGGTGAAAAAGGAAATATCTTCCCATAAAAACTAGACAGAAGCATTCTCAGAAACTTCTTTGTGATGTGTGTCCTCAACTGACAGAGTTGAACATGTCTTTTGAGAAAGCAGTTTTGAAACAATCTTTCTGTGGAACCTGCAAGTGGATATTTGGCTGGCTTTGACGATTTCGTTGGAAACGGGAATACATATAAAAAGCAGACAGCAGCGTTCTGAGAAACTACTTGGTGATGTTTGCATTCAAGTCACAGAATGGAACGTTCCCTTTCACAGAACAGGTTTGAAACACTCCTTTTGTCGTATCTGGAAGTGTCCATTTGGAGCGCATTCAGGCTTGTGTTGGAAAAGGAAATATCTTCCCATAAAAACCAGACAGAAGCCTTCTCGGCAACTTGTTTGTGATGTGTGCCCTCTACTAACAGAGTCGAACCTTTCTATTCATAGAGCAGTCTTGAAACACTCTTTTTGTAGAATCTGCAGGAGCATATTTGCATAGCTTTGAGGATTTCGTTGGAAACGGGATTGTCTTCAGATAAAATCCAGACAGAAGCATTCTCAGAAACTTCTTTGGGATGTTTGCATTGACGTCACAGAGGAGAACATGCCCTTTCGTAGAGAAGGTTTGAAACACTCCCTTTGCAGTATCTGGAAGCGGACATTTGAAGCGGTTTCAGGCCTATTTAGAAAAAGGAAATATCTTCCCGTAACAACTGGACAGAAGCATTCTCAGAAGCTAGTCTCTGATGTGTGTCCTCAACTAACAGAGTTGAACATTTCTTTTGACAGTACAGTTTTGAAACACTCTTTTTGTGCAGTCTGCAAGTGGATATTTGGCTGGATTTGAGGATTTCGTTGGAAACGCGATAAGGTATAAAAAGCAGATAGCAGCATTCTCAGCAATTTCTTTGTGATGTTTGCATTCAAGTCACAGAATTGAACATTCCCTTTCACAGAGCAGGTTTGAAACACTCTTTTTGTAGTGTCTGTAACTGGACTTTTGGAGCGCTTTCCGGCCTAAGGTGAAAAAGGACATATCTTCCCATAAAAACTAGACAGAAGCATTGTCAGAAACTTACTCGTGATGTGTGTCCTCAACTGACGGAGTAGAACCTTTCTTTTGATAGAGCAGTTTTGAAACACTCTTTTTGTAGAATCTCCAAGTGGATATTTGGATAGCTTTGAGGATTTCGTTGGAAACGGGAATATCTTCATATAAAACCTAGACAGAAATATTATCAGAAACTTCCTTGTGATGGTTGCATTCAAGTCACAGAGTTGAACATTCGCTTTCATAGAGCATGTTTGAAACACTCTTTTTCCATTACCTGGAAGTGGACTTTTGGAGCGCTTTGAGGCCTATGGTGAAAAAGGAAATATCTTCCCAAAAAAACTAGACAGAAGCATTCTCAGAAACTTATTTGTGATGTGTGTCCTCAACTGACAGAGTTGAACATTTCTTTTGAGAGAGCAGTTTTGAAACACTCTTTTTGTGGAATCTGCAAGTGGATATTTGGCTGGCTTTGAGGATTTCGTTGGAAACGGGAATACATATAAAAAGCAGACAGCTGCGTTCTGAGAAACTACTTGGTGATGTTTGCATTCAAGTCACAGAATGGAACGTTCCCTTTCACAGAACAGGTTTGAAACACTCCTTTTGTCGTATCTGGAAGTGTCCATTTGGAGCGCATTCAGGCTTGTGTTGGAAAAGGAAATATCTTCCCAAAAAAATCAGACAGAAGCATTCTCGGCAACTTGTTTGTGATGTGTGCCCTCTACTAACAGAGTCGAACTTTTCTTTTCATAGAGCAGTTTTGAAACACTCTTTTTGTAGAATCTGCAGGAGCATATTTGCATATCTTTGAGGATTTCGTTGGAAACGGGATTGTCTTCAGATAAAATCCAGACAGAAGCATTCTCAGAAAGTTCTTTGGGATGTTTGCATTGACGTCACAGAGGAGAACATGCCCTTTCGTAGAGAAGGTTTGAAACACTCTCTTTGCAGTATCTGGAAGTGGACACTTGAAGCGGTTTCAGGCCTATGTTGAAAAAGGAAATATCTTCCCGTAACAACTGGACAGAAGCATTCTCAGAAGCTAGTCTCTGATGTGTGTCCTCAACTAACAGAGTTGAACATTTCTTTGGAGAGTATAGTTTTGAAACACTCTTTTTGTGGAGTCTGCAAGTGGATATTTGGCTGGATTTGAGGATTTCGTTGGAAACGGGATAAGGTATAAAAAGCAGACAGCAGCATTCTCAGCAACTTCTTTGTGATCTTTGCATTCAAGTTACAGAATTGAACATTCCCTTTCACAGAGCAGGTTTGAAACACTCTTTTTGTAGTGTCTGTAACTGGACTTTTGGAGCGCTTTCCGGCCTAAGGTGAAAAAGGACATATCTTCCCATAAAAACTAGACAGAAGCATTCTCAGAAACTTACTCGTGATGTGTGTCCTCAACTAACGGAGTAGAACCTTTCTTTTGATAGAGCAGTTTTGAAACACTCTTTTTGTAGAATCTGCAAGTGGATATTTGGATAGCTTTGAGGATTTCGTTGGAAACGGGAAGATCTTCATATAAAATCAAGACAGAAGCATTCTCAGAAACTTCCTTGTGATGGTTGCATTCAAGTCACGGAGTTGAACATTGGCTTTCATAGAGCAGGTTGGAAACACTCTTTTTCCATTCCCTGGAAGTGGACATTTGGAGCGCTTTGAGGCCTATGGTGAAAAAGGAAATATCTTCCCATAAAAACTAGACAGAAGCATTCTCAGAAACTTCTTTGTGATGTGTGTCCTCAACTGACAGAGTTGAACATGTCTTTTGAGAGAGTCGTTTGAAACACTCTTTTTGTGGAACATGCAAGTGGATATTTGGCTGTTTTTGATGATTTCGTTGGAAACGGGAATACATATAAAAAGCAGACAGCAGCGTTCTGAGAAACTACTTGGTGATGTTTGCATTCAAGTCACAGAATGGAACGTTCCCTTTCATAGAACAGCTTTGAAACACTCCTTTTGTCGTATCTGGAAGTGTCCATTTGGAGCGCATTCAGGCTTGTGTTGGAAAAGGAAATATCTTCCCATAAAAACCAGACAGAAGCATTCTCAGAAACTAGATTCTGATGTGTGTCCTCAACTAACACAGTTGAACATTTCTTTAGACAGAACAGTTTTGAAACACTCTTTTTGTGGAATTTGCAAGTGGATATTTGGCTAGATTTGAGCATTTCGTTGGAAACGGGATTACATATAAAAAGCAGACAGCAGCATTCTCAGAAACTTCTTTGTGATGATTGCATTCCAGTCACAGAATTGAACATTCCCTTTCATAGAGCAGGTTTGAAACACTCTTTTTGTAGTGTCTGTAAGTGGACATTTGGAGCGCTTTCCGGCCTCAGGTGAAAAAGGAAATATCTTCCCATAAAAACTAGACAGAAGCATTCTCAGAAACTTACTCGTGATATGTGTCCTCAGCTAAAGGAGTAGAACCTTTCTTTTCATAGAGCAGTTTTGAAACACTCTTTTTGTAGAATCTGCAAGTGGATATTTCGATAGCTTTGTGGATTTCGTTGGAAACGGGAATATCTTCATATAAAATCTAGACAGAAGCATTCTCAGAAACTTCCTTGTGATGGTTGCATTCAAGTCACAGAGTTGAACATTCGCTTTCATAGAGCAGGTTTGAAGCACTCTTTTTCCATTACCTGGAAGTGGACATTTGGAGCGCTTTGAGGCCTATGGTGAAAAAGGAAATATCTTCCCAAAAAAACTAGACAGAAGCATTCTCAGAAACTTCATTGTGATGTGTGTCCTCAACTGACAGAGTTGAACATGTCTTTTGAGAGAGCAGTTTTGAAACACTCTTTCTGTGGAACCTGCAAGTGGATATTTAGCTGGTTTGACGATTTCGTTGGAAACGGGAATACATATAAAAATCAGACAGCAGCGTTCTGAGAAACTACTTGGTGATGTTTGCATTCAAGTCACAGAATGGAACGTTCCCTTTCACAGAACAGGTTTGAAACACTCCTTTTGTCGTATCTGGAAGTGTCCATTTGGAGCGCATTCAGGCCTGTGTTGGAAAAGGAAATATCTTCCCATAAAAACCAGACAGAAGCCTTCTCGGCAACTTGTTTGTGATGTGTGCCCTCTACTAACAGAGTCGAACCTTTCTATTCATAGAGCAGTTTTGAAACACTCCTTTTGTAGAATCTGAAGGAGCATATTTGCATATCTTTGAGGATTTCTTTGGAAACGGGATTGTCTTCAGATAAAATCCAGACAGAAGCATTCTCAGAAACTTCTTTGGGATGTTTGCATTGACGTCACAGAGGAGAACATGCCCTTTCGTAGAGAAGGTTTGAAACACTCTCTTTGCAGTATCTGGAAGTGGACATTTGAAGTGGTTTCAGGCCTATGTTGAAAAAGGAAATATCTTCCCGTAACAACTGGACAGAAGAATTCTCAGAAGCTAGTCTCTCATGTGTGTCCTCAACTAACAGAGTTGAACATTTCTTTTGACAGTACAGTTTTGAAACACTCTTTTTGTGGAGTCTGCAAGTGGATATTTGGCTGGATTTGAGGATTTCGTTGGAAACGGGATAAGGTATAAAAAGCAGACAGCAGCATTCTCAGAAACTTCTTAGTGATATTTGCATTCAAGTCACAGAATTGAACATTCCCTTTCACAGAGCAGGTTTGAAACACTCTTTTTGTAGTGTCTGTAAGTGGACCTTTGGAGCGCTTTCCGGCCTGAGGTGAAAAAGGACATATCTTCCCATACAAACTAGACAGAAGCATTCTCAGAAACTTACTCGTGATGTGTGTCCTCAACTAAAGGGGTAGAAACTTTCTTTTCATAGAGCAGTTTTGAAACACTCTTTTTGTAGAATCTGCAAGTGGATATTTCGATAGCTTTGTGGATTTCGTTGGAAACGGGAATATCTTCATATAAAATCTAGAGAGAAGCATTCTCAGAAACTTCCTTGTGATGGTTGCATTCAAGTCACGGAGTTGAACATTGGCTTTCATAGAGCAGGTTGGAAACACTCTTTTTCCATTCCCTGGAAGTGGACATTTGGAGTGCTTTGAGGCCTTTGGTGAAAAAGGAAATATCTTCCCATAAAAACTAGACAGAAGCATTCTCAGAAACTTCTTTGTGATGTGTGTCCTCAACTGACAGAGTTGAACATGTCTTTTGAGAAAGCAGTTTTGAAACACTCTTTCTGTGGAACCTGCAAGTGGATATTTGGCTGGCTTTGACGATTTCGTTGGAAACGGGAATACATATAAAAAGCAGACAGCAGCGTTCTGAGAAACTACTTGGTGATGTTTGCATTCAAGTCACAGAATGGAACGTTCCCTTTCACAGAACAGGTTTGAAACACTCCTTTTGTCGTATCTCGAAGTGTCCATTTGGAGCGCATTCAGGCTTGTGTTGGAAAAGGAAATATCTTCCCATAAAAATCAGACAGAAGCCTTCTCGGCAACTTGTTTGTGATGTGTGCCCTCTACTAACAGAGTCGAACCTTTCTATTCATAGAGCAGTTTTGAAACACTCCTTTTGTAGAATCTGAAGGAGCATATTTGCATATCTTTGAGGATTTCTTTGGAAACGGGATTGTCTTCAGATAAAATCCAGACAGAAGCATTCTCAGAAACTTCTTTGGGATGTTTGCATTGACGTCACAGAGGAGAACATGCCCTTTCGTAGAGAAGGTTTGAAACACTCTCTTTGCAGTATCTGGAAGTGGACATTTGAAGCGGTTTCAGGCCTATGTTGAAAAAGGAAATATCTTCCCGTAACAACTGGACAGAAGCATTCTCAGAAGCTAGTCTCTGATGTGTGTCCTCAACTAACAGAGTTGAACATTTCTTTGGAGAGTATAGTTTTGAAACACTCTTTTTGTGGAGTCTGCAAGTGGATATTTGGCTGGATTTGAGGATTTCGTTGGAAACGCGATAAGGTATAAAAAGCAGACAGCAGCATTCTCAGCAACTTCTTTGTGATGTTTGCATTCAAGTCACAGAATTGAACATTCCCTTTCACAGAGCAGGTTTGAAACACTCTTTTTGTAGTGTCTGTAACTGGACTTTTGGAGCGCTTTCCGGCCTAAGGTGAAAAAGGACATATCTTCCCATAAAAACTAGACAGAAGCATTCTCAGAAACTTACTCGTGATGTGTGTCCTCAACTAAAGGGGTAGAAACTTTCTTTTGATAGAGCAGTTTTGAAACACTCTTTTTGTAGAATCTGCAACTGGATATTTCGATAGCTTTGTGGATTTCGTTGGAAACGGGAATATCTTCATATAAAATCTAGAGAGAAGTATTATCAGAAACTTCCTTGTGATGGTTGCATTCAAGTCACAGAGTTGAACATTCGCTTTCATAGAGCATGTTTGAAACACTCTTTTTCCATTACCTGGAAGTGGACATTTGGAGCGCTTTGAGGCCTATGGTGAAAAAGGAAATATCTTCCCAAAAAAACTAGACAGAAGCATTCTCAGAAATTTATTTGTGATGTGTGTCCTCAACTGACAGAGTTGAACATTTCTTTTGAGAGAGCAGTTTTGAAACACTCTTTTTGTGCAATCTGCAAGTCGATATTTGGCTGGCTTTGACGAATTCGTTGGAAACGGGAATACATATAAAAAGCAGACAGCAGCGTTCTGAGAAACTACTTGGTGATGTTTGCATTCAAGTCACAGAATGGAACGTTCCCTTTCACAGAACAGGTTTGAAACACTCTTTTTGTCGTATCTGGAAGTGTCCATTTGGAGCGCATTCAGGCTTGTGTTGGAAAAGGAAATATCTTCCCATAAAAACCAGACAGAAGCCTTCTCGGCAACTTGTTTGTGATGTGTGCCCTCTACTAACAGAGTCGAACCTTTCTATTCATAGAGCAGTTTTGAAACACTCTTTTTGTAGAATCTGCAGGAGCATATTTGCATAGCTTTGAGGATTTCGTTGGAAACGGGATTGTCTTCAGATAAAATCCAGACAGAAGCATTCTCAGAAACTTCTTTGGGATGTTTGCATTGACGTCACTGAGGAGAACATGCCCTTTCGTAGAGAAGGTTTGAAACCCTCTCTTTGCAGTATCTGGAAGTGGATATTTGAAGCGGTTTCAGGCCTATGTTGAAAAGGAAACATATTCCCGTAACAACTGGACAGAAGCATTCTCAGAAACTAGTTTCTGATGTGTGTCCTCAACTAACACAGTTGTACATTTCTTTAGACAGAACAGTTTTGAAACACTCTTTTTGTGGAATCTGCAAGTGGATATTTGGCTAGATTTGAGCATTTCGTTGGAAACGGGATTACATAGAAAAAGCAGACAGCAGCATACTCAGAAACTTCTTTGTGATGATTGCATTCCAGTCACAGAATTGAACATTCCCTTTCATAGAGCAGGTTTGAAACACTCTTTTTGTAGTGTCTGTAAGTGGACATTTGGAGCGCTTTCCGGCCTCAGGTGAAAAAGGAAATATCTTCCCATAAAAACTAGACAGAAGCATTCTCAGAAACTTACTCGTGATGTGTGTCCTCAACTAAAGGGGTAGAACCTTTCTTTTGATAGAGCAGTTTTGAAACACTCTTTTTGTAGAATCTGCAAGTGGATATTTCGATAGCTTTGTGGATTTCGTTGGAAACGGGAATATCTTCATATAAAATCTAGAGAGAAGTATTATCAGAAACTTCCTTTTGATGGTTGCATTCAAGTCACAGAGTTGAACATTCGCTTTCATAGAGCATGTTTGAAACACTCTTTTTCCATTACCTGGAAGTGGACTTTTGGAGCGCTTTGAGGCCTATGGTGAAAAAGGAAATATCTTCCCAAAAAAACTAGACAGAAGCATTCTCAGAAACTTATTTGTGATGTGTGTCCTCAACTGACAGAGTTGAACATTTCTTTTGAGAGAGCAGTTTTGAAACACTCTTTTTGTGGAATCTGCAAGTGGATATTTGGCTGGCTTTGAGGATTTCGTTGGAAACGGGAATACATATAAAAAGCAGACAGCAGCGTCTGAGAAACTACTTGGTGATGTTTGCATTCAAGTCACAGAATGGAACGTTCCCTTTCCCAGAAAAGGTTTGAAACACTCCTTTAGTCGTATCTGGAAGTGTCCATTTGGAGCGCATTCAGGCTTGTGTTGGAAAAGGAAATATCTTCCCATAAAAACCAGACAGAAGCATTCTCAGCAACTTGTTTGTGATGTGTGCCCTCTACTAACAGAGTTGAACCTTTCTTTTCATAGAGCAGTTTTGAAACACTCTTTTTGTAGAATCTGCAGGAGGATATTTGCATAGCTTTGAGGATTTCGTTGGAAACGGGATTGTCTTCAGATAAAATCCAGACAGAAGCATTCTCAGAAACTTCGCTGGGATGTTTCCATTCAAGTCACAGAGGAGAACATGCCCTTTCGTAGAGAAGGTTTAAAACACTCTTTTTGTAGTATCTGGAAGTGGACATTTGGAGCAGTTTCAGGCCTATGTTGAAAAAGGAAATATCTTCCCTTAACAACTGGACAGAAGCATTCTCAGAAGCTAGTCTCTGATGTGTGTCCTCAACTAACAGAGTTGAACATTTCTTTAGACAGAACAGTTTTGAAACACTCTTTTTGTGGAGTCTGCAAGTGGATATTTGGCTAGATTTTTAGGATTTCGTTGGAAACGGGATTACGTATAAAAAGCCGACAGCAGCATTCTCAGAAACTTCTTTGTGATGTTTGCATTCAAGTCACAGAATTGAACATTCCCTTTCACAGATCAGGTTTGAAACCCTCTTTTTGTAGTGTCTGTAAGTGGACGTTTGGAGCGCTTTCCGACCTAAGGTGAAAAAGGACATATCTTTCCATAAAAACTAGACAGAAGCATTGTCAGAAACTTACTCGTGATGTGTGTCCTCAACTGACGGAGTAGAACCTTTCTTTTGATAGAGCAGTTTTGAAACACTCTTTTTGTAGAATCTCCAAGTGGATATTTGGATAGCTTTGAGGATTTCGTTGGAAACGGGAATATCTTCATATAAAACCTAGACAGAAGCATTCTCAGAAACTTCCTTGTGATGGTTGCATTCAAGTCACGGAGTTGAACATTCGCTTTCGTAGAGCAGGTTGATAACACTCTTTTTCAATTCCCTGGAAGTGGACATTTGGAGAGCTTTGAGGCCTATGGTGAAAAAGGAAATATCTTCCCATAAAAACTAGACAGAAGCATTCTCAGAAACTTCTTTGTGATGTGTGTCCTCAACTGACAGAGTTGAAAATGTCTTTTGAGAGAGCAGTTTTCAAACACTCTTTCTGTGGAACCTGCAAGTGGATATTTGGCTGGCTTTGACGATTTCGTTGGAAACGGGAATACATATAAAAAGCAGACAGCAGCGTTCTGAGAAACTACTTGGTGATGTTTGCATTCAAGTCACAG
This sequence comes from Homo sapiens, assembly GCF_000001405.40. NCBI lineage: Eukaryota > Metazoa > Chordata > Mammalia > Primates > Hominidae > Homo > Homo sapiens. The sequence goes on from NC_000020.11 coordinate 26,569,488, forward strand.
AATGGAACGTTCCCTTTCATAGAACAGGTTTGAAACACGCCTTTTGTCGTATCTGGAAGTGTCCATTTGGAGCGCATTCAGGCTAGTGTTGGAAAAGGAAATATCTTCCCATAAAAACCAGACAGAAGCATTCTCGGCAACTTGTTTGTGATGTTTGCCCTCTACTAACAGGGTCGTACCTTTCTTTTCCTAGAGCAGTTTTGAAACACTCTTTTTGTAGAATCTGCAGGAGCATATTTGCATAGCTTTGAGGATTTCGTTCGAAACGGGATTGTCTTCAGATAAAATCCAGACAGAAGCATTCTCAGAAACTTCTTTGGGATGTTTGCATTGACGTCACAGAGGAGAACATGCCCTTTCGTAGAGAAGGTTTGAAACACTCTCTTTGCAGTATCTGGAAGTGGACATTTGAAGCGATTTCAGGCCTATGTTGAAAAAGGAAATATCTTCCCGTAACAACTGGACAGAAGCATTCCCAGAAGCTAGTCTCTGATGTTTGTCCTCAACTAACAGAGTTGAACATTTCTTTGGAGAGTACAGTTTTGCAACACTCTTTTTGTGGAGACTGCAAGTGGATACTTGGCTAGATTTGAGGATTTCGTTGGATACGGGATAAGGTATAAAAAGCAGACAGCAGCATTCTCAGCAACTTCTTTGTGATGTTTGCATTCAAGTCACAGAATTGAACATTCCCTTTCACAGAGCAGGTTTGAAACACTCTTTTTGTAGTGTCTGTAACTGGACATTTGGGGCGCTTTCCGGCCTAAGGTGAAAAAGGACATATCTTCCCATAAAAACTAGACAGAAGCATTGTCAGAAACTTACTCGTGATGTGTGTCCTCAACTGACGGAGTAGAACCTTTCTTTTGATAGAGCAGTTTTGAAACACTCTTTTTGTAGAATCTCCAAGTGGATATTTGGATAGCTTTGAGGATTTCGTTGGAAACGGGAATATCTTCATATAAAACCTAGACAGAAGTATTATCAGAAACTTCCTTGTGATGGTTGCATTCAAGTCACAGAGTTGAACATTCGCTTTCATAGAGCATGTTTGAAACACTCTTTTTCCATTACCTGGAAGTGGACTTTTGGAGCGCTTTGAGGCCTATGGTGAAAAAGGAAATATCTTCCCAAAAAAACTAGACAGAAGCATTCTCAGAAACTTATTTGTGATGTGTGTCCTCAACTGACAGAGTTGAACATTTCTTTTGAGAGAGCAGTTTTGAAACACTCTTTTTGTGGAATTTGCAAGTGGATATTTGGCTGGCGTTGACGACTTCGTTGGAAACGGGAATAGATATAAAAAGCAGACAGCAGCGTTCTGAGAAACTTCTTGGTGATGTTTGCATTCAAGTCACAGAATGGAACGTTCCCTTTCATAGAAGAGGTTTGAAACTCTCCTTTTGTCATATCTGGAAGTGTCCATTTGGAGCGCATTCTGGCTTGTGTTGAAAAAGGAAATATCTTCCCATAAAAACTAGACAGAAGCATTCTCAGCAACTTGTTTGTGATGTGTGCCCTCTACTAACAGAGTTGAACCTTTCTTTTCATAGAGCAGTTTTGAAACACTCTTTTTGTAGAATCTGCAGGAGGATATTTGCATAGCTTTGAGGATTTCGTTGGAAACGGGATTGTCTTCAGATAAAATCCAGACAGAAGCATTCTCAGAAACTTCTTTGGGATGTTTGCATTGACGTCACTGAGGAGAACATGCCCTTTCGTAGAGAAGGTTTGAAACACTCTCTTTGCAGTATCTGGAAGTGGACATTTGAAGCGGTTTCAGGCCTATGTTGAAAAAGGAAATATCTTCCCGTAACAACTGGACAGAAGAATTCTCAGAAGCTAGTCTCTCATGTGTGTCCTCAACTAACAGAGTTGAACATTTCTTTTGACAGTACAGTTTTGAAACACTCTTTTTGTGGAGTCTGCAAGTGGATATTTGGCTGGATTTGAGGATTTCGTTGGAAACGGGATAAGGTATAAAAAGCAGACAGCAGCATTCTCAGCAACTTCTTTGTGATGTTTGCATTCAAGTCACAGAATTGAACATTCCCTTTCACATAGCAGGTTTGAAACACTCTTTTTGTAGTGTCTGTAACTGGACTTTTGGAGCGCTTTCCGGCCTAAGGTGAAAAAGGACATATCTTCCCATAAAAACTAGACAGAAGCATTGTCAGAAACTTACTCGTGATGTGTGTCCTCAACTGACGGAGTAGAACCTTTCTTTTGATAGAGCAGTTTTGAAACACTCTTTTTGTAGAATCTCCAAGTGGATATTTGGATAGCTTTGAGGATTTCGTTGGAAACGGGAATATCTTCATATAAAACCTAGACAGAAGTATTATCAGAAACTTCCTTGTGATGGTTGCATTCAAGTCACAGAGTTGAACATTCGCTTTCATAGAGCATGTTTGAAACACTCTTTTTCCATTACCTGGAAGTGGATATTTGGAGCGCTTTGAGGCCTATGGTGAAAAAGGAAATATCTTCCCAAAAAAACTAGACAGAAGCATTCTCAGAAACTTATTTGTGATGTGTGTCCTCAACTGACAGAGTTGAACATTTCTTTTGAGAGAGCAGTTTTGAAACACTCTTTCTGTGGAATCTGCAAGTGGATATTTGGCTGGCTTTGAGGATTTCGTTGGAAACGGGAATACATATAAAAAGCAGACAGCAGCGTTCTGAGAAACTTCTTGGTGATGTTTGCATTCAAGTCACAGAATTGAACATTCCCTTTGATAGAACAGGTTTGAAACACTCCTTTTCTCATATCTGGAAGTGTCCATTCGGAGCGCATTCAGGCTTGTGTTGAAAAAGGATATATCTTCCCATAACAACTAGACAGAAACATTCTCGGCAACTTGTTTGTGATGTGTGCCCTCTACTAACAGAGTCGAACCTTTCTTTTCATAGAGCAGTTTTGAAACACTCTTTTTGTAGAATCTGCAGGAGCATATTTGCATATCTTTGAGGATTTCGTTGGAAACGGGATTGTCCTCAGATAAAATCCAGACAGAAGCATTCTCAGAAACTTCTTTGGGATGTTTGCATTGACGTCACAGAGGAGAACATGCCCTTTCGTAGAGAAGGTTTGAAACACTCTCTTTGCAGTATCTGGAAGTGGACATTTGAAGCGGTTTCAGGCCTATGTTGAAAAAGGAAATATCTTCCCGTAACAACTGGACAGAAGCATTCTCAGAAGCTAGTCTCTGATGTGTGTCCTCAACTAACAGAGTTGAACATTTCTTTGGAGAGTATAGTTTTGAAACACTCTTTTTGTGGAGTCTGCAAGTGGATATTTGGCTGGATTTGAGGATTTCGTTGGAAACGGGATAAGGTATAAAAAGCAGACAGCAGCATTCTCAGCAACTTCTTTGTGATCTTTGCATTCAAGTTACAGAATTGAACATTCCCTTTCACAGAGCAGGTTTGAAACACTCTTTTTGTAGTGTCTGTAACTGGACTTTTGGAGCGCTTTCCGGCCTAAGGTGAAAAAGGACATATCTTCCCATAAAAACTAGACAGAAGCATTCTCAGAAACTTACTCGTGATGTGTGTCCTCAACTAAAGGGGTAGAACCTTTCTTTTGATAGAGCAGTTTTGAAACAATCTTTTTGTAGAATCTGCAAGTGGATATTTCGATAGCTTTGTGGATTTCGTTGGAAACGGGAATATCTTCATATAAAATCTAGAGAGAAGTATTATCAGAAACTTCCCTTGTGATGGTTGCATTCAAGTCACAGAGTTGAACATTCGCTTTCATAGAGCATGTTTGAAACACTCTTTTTCCATTACCTGGAAGTGGACTTTTGGAGCGCTTTGAGGCCTATGGTGAAAAAGGAAATATCTTCCCAAAAAAACTAGACAGAAGCATTCTCAGAAACTTCTTTGTGATGTGTGTCCTCAACTGACAGAGTTGAACATGTCTTTTGAGAGAGCAGTTTTGAAACACTCTTTCTGTGGAACCTGCAAGTGGATATTTGGCTGGCTTTGACGATTTCGTTGGAAACGGGAATACATATAAAAAGCAGACAGCAGCGTTCTGAGAAACTTCTTGGTGATGTTTGCATTCAAGTCACAGAATGGAACGTTCCCTTTCATAGAACTGATTTGAAACTCTCCTTTTGTCGTATCTGGAAGTGTCCATTTGGAGCGCATTCAGGCTTGTGTTGAAAAAGGAAATATCTTCCCATAAAAACTAGACAGAAGCATTCTCAGCAACTTGTTTGTGATGTGTGCCCTCTACTAACAGAGTTGAACCTTTCTTTTCATAGAGCAGCTTTGAAACACTCTTTTTGTAGAATCTGCAGGAGGATATTTGTATAGATTTGAGGATTTCGTTGGAAACGGGATTGTCTTCAGATAAAATCCAGACAGAAGCATTCTCAGAAAGTTCTTTGGGATGTTTGCATTGACGTCACAGAGGAGAACATGCCCTTTCGTAGAGAAGGTTTGAAACACTCTCTTTGCAGTATCTGGAAGTGGACACTTGAAGCGGTTTCAGGCCTATGTTGAAAAAGGAAATATCTTCCCGTAACAACTGGACAGAAGCATTCTCAGAAGCTAGTCTCTGATGTGTGTCCTCAACTAACAGAGTTGAACATTTCTTTGGAGAGTATAGTTTTGAAACACTCTTTTTGTGGAGTCTGCAAGTGGATATTTGGCTGGATTTGAGGATTTCGTTGGAAACGGGATAAGGTACAAAAAGCAGACAGCAGCATTCTCAGCAATTTCTTTGTGATGTTTGCATTCAAGTCACAGAATTGAACATTCCCTTTCACATAGCAGGTTTGAAACACTCTTTTTGTAGTGTCTGTAACTGGACTTTTGGAGCGCTTTCCGGCCTAAGGTGAAAAAGGACATATCTTCCCATAAAAACTAGACAGAAGCATTCTCAGCAAACTTACTCGTGATGTGTGTCCTCAACTAAAGGGGTAGAACCTTTCTTTTGATAGAGCAGTTTTGAAACACTCTTTTTGTAGAATCTGCAAGTGGATATTTCGATAGCTTTGTGGATTTCGTTGGAAACGGGAATATCTTCATATAAAATCTAGAGAGAAGTATTATCAGAAACTTCCTTGTGATGGTTGCATTCAAGTCACAGAGTTGAACATTCGCTTTCATAGAGCATGTTTGAAACACTCTTTTTCCATTACCTGGAAGTGGATATTTGGAGCGCTTTGAGGCCTATGGTGAAAAAGGAAATATCTTCCCAAAAAAACTAGACAGAAGCATTCTCAGAAACTTATTTGTGATGTGTGTCCTCAACTGACAGAGTTGAACATTTCTTTTGAGAGAGCAGTTTTGAAACACTCTTTTTGTGGAATCTGCAAGTGGATATTTGGCTGGCTTTGAGGATTTCGTTGGAAACGGGAATACATATAAAAAGCAGACAGCAGCGTTCTGAGAAACTACTTGGTGATGTTTGCATTCAAGTCACAGAATGGAACGTTCCCTTTCACAGAACAGGTTTGAAACACTCCTTTTGTCGTATCTCGAAGTGTCCGTTTGGAGCGCATTCAGGCTTGTGTTGGAAAAGGAAATATCTTCCCATAAAAATCAGACAGAAGCATTCTCGGCAACTTGTTTGTGATGTGTGCCCTCTACTAACAGAGTCGAACCTTTCTATTCATAGAGCAGTTTTGAAACACTCTTTTTGTAGAATCTGCAGGAGCATATTTGTATATCTTTGAGGATTTGGTTGGAAACGGGATTGTCTTCAGATAAAATCCAGACAGAAGCATTCTCAGAAACTTCTTTGGGATGTTTGCATTGACGTCACTGAGGAGAACATGCCCTTTCGTAGAGAAGGTTTGAAACACTCTCTTTGTAGTATCTGGAAGTGGACATTTGAAGTGGTTTCAGGCCTATGTTGAAAAAGGAAATATCTTCCCGTAACAACTGGACAGAAGCATTATCAGAAGCTAGTCTCTCATGTGTGAATTCAACTAACAGAGTTGAACATTTCTTTAGACAGAACAGTTTTGAAACACTCTTTTTGTGGAGTCTGCAAGTGGATATTTGGCTAGATTTGAGGATTTCGTTGGAAACGGGATTACGTATAAAAAGCAGACAGCAGCATTCTCAGAAACTACTTTGTGATGTTTGCATTCAAGTCACAGAATTGAACATTCCCTTTCACAGAGCAGGTTTGAAACACACTTTTTGTAGTGTCTGTAAGTGGACATTTGGAGCGCTTTCCGGCCTAAGGTGAAAAAGGACATATCTTCCCATAAAAACTAGACAGAAGCATTCTCAGAAACTTACTCGTGATGTGTGTCCTCAACTAAAGGGGTAGAACCTTTCTTTTCATAGAGCAGTTTTGAAACACTCTTTTTGTAGAATCTGCAAGTGGATATTTCGATAGCTTTGTGGATTTCGTTGGAAACGGGAATATCTTCATATAAAATCTAGAGAGAAGTATTATCAGAAACTTCCTTGTGATGGTTGCATTCAAGTCACAGAGTTGAACATTCGCTTTCATAGAGCATGTTTGAAACACTCTTTTTCCATTACCTGGAAGTGGACATTTGGAGCGCTTTGAGGCCTATGGTGAAAAAGGAAATATCTTCCCAAAAAAACTAGACAGAAGCATTCTCAGAAACTTCATTGTGATGTGTGTCCTCAACTGACAGAGTTGAACATGTCTTTTGAGAGAGCAGTTTTGAAACACTCTTTCTGTGGAACCTGCAAGTGGATATTTAGCTGGTTTGACGATTTCGTTGGAAACGGGAATACATATAAAAAGCAGACAGCTGCGTTCTGAGAAACTACTTGGTGATGTTTGCATTCAAGTCACAGAATGGAACGTTCCCTTTCACAGAACAGGTTTGAAACACTCCTTTTGTCGTATCTGGAAGTGTCCATTTGGAGCGCATTCAGGCTTGTGTTGGAAAAGGAAATATCTTCCCAAAAAAATCAGACAGAAGCATTCTCGGCAACTTGTTTGTGATGTGTGCCCTCTACTAACAGAGTCGAACCTTTCTATTCATAGAGCAGTTTTGAAACACTCTTTTTGTAGAATCTGCAGGAGCATATTTGCATATCTTTGAGGATTTCGTTGGAAACGGGATTGTCTTCAGATAAAATCCAGACAGAAGCATTCTCAGAAACTTCTTTGGGATGTTTGCATTGACGTCACAGAGGAGAACATGCCCTTTCGTAGAGAAGGTTTGAAACACTCTCTTTGCAGTATCTGGAAGTGGACATTTGAAGTGGTTTCAGGCCTATGTTGAAAAAGGAAATATCTTCCCGTAACAACTGGACAGAAGCATTCTCAGAAGCTAGTCTCTGATGTGTGTCCTCAACTAACAGAGTTGAACATTTCTTTTGACAGTACAGTTTTGAAACACTCTTTTTGTGGAGTCTGCAAGTGGATATTTGGCTGGATTTGAGGATTTCGTTGGAAACGGGATAAGGTATAAAAAGCAGACAGCAGCATTCTCAGAAACTTCTTTGTGATGTTGGCATTCAAGTCACAGAATTGAACATTCCCTTTCACAGAGCAGGTGTAAAACACTCTTTTTGTAGTGTGTGTAAGTGGACCTTTGGAGCGCTCTCCGTCCTAAGGTGAAAAAGGACATATCTTCCCATAAAAACTAGACAGAAGCATTCTCAGAAAGCTACTCGTGATGTGTGTCCTCAACTAACGGAGTAGAACCTTTCTTTTGATAGAGCAGTTTTGAAAAACTCTTTTTGTAGAATCTCCAAGTGGATATTTGGATAGCTTTGAGGATTTCATTGGAAACGGGAATATCTTCATATAAAATCTAGACAGAAGCATTCTCAGAAACTTCCTTGTGATGGTTGCTTTCAAGTCACGGAGTTGAACATTCGCTTTCATAGAGCAGGTTGGAAACACTCTTTTTCCATTCCCTGAAAGTGGACGTTTGGAGCGCTTTGAGGCCTAAGGTGGAAAAGGAAATATCTTCCCATAAAACCTAGACAGAAGCATTCTCAGAAACTTATTTGTGATGTGTGTCCTCAACTGACAGAGTTGAACATTTCTTTTGAGAGAGCAGTTTTGAAACACTCTTTTTGTGGAATCTGCAAGTGGATATTTGGCTGGCTTTGAGGATTTCGTTGGAAACGGGAATACATATAAAAAGCAGACAGCAGCGTTCTGAGAAACTACTTGGTGATGTTTGCATTCAAGTCACAGAATGGAACGTTCCCTTTCACAGAACAGGTTTGAAACACTCCTTTTGTCGTATCTCGAAGTGTCCGTTTGGAGCGCATTCAGGCTTGTGTTGGAAAAGGAAATATCTTCCCATAAAAATCAGACAGAAGCATTCTCAGCAACTTGTTTGTGATGTGTGCCCTCTACTAACAGAGTTGAACCTTTCTTTTCATAGAGCAGCTTTGAAACACTCTTTTTGTAGAATCTGCAGGAGGATATTTGTATAGATTTGAGGATTTCGTTGGAAACGGGATTGTCTTCAGATAAAATCCAGACAGAAGCATTCTCAGAAACTTCTTTGGGATGTTTGCATTGACGTCACAGAGGAGAACATGCCCTTTCGTAGAGAAGGTTTGAAACACTCTCTTTGCAGTATCTGGAAGTGGACATTTGAAGTGGTTTCAGGCCTATGTTGAAAAAGGAAATATCTTCCCGTAACAACTGGACAGAAGCATTCTCAGAAGCTAGTCTCTGATGTGTGTGCTCAACTAACAGAGTTGAACATTTCTTTTGACAGAACAGTTTTGAAACACTCTTTTTGTGGAGTCTGCAAGTGGATATTTGGCTAAATTTTTAGGATTTCGTTGGAAACGGGATTACATATAAAAACCCGTCAGCAGCATTCTCAGAAACTTCTTTGTGATGTTTGCATTCAAGTCACAGAATTGAACATTCCCTTTCACAGAGCAGGTTTGAAACACTCTATTTGTAGTGTCTGTAAGTGGACCTTTGGAGCGCTTTCCGGCCTAAGGTGAAAAAGGACATATCTTCCCATAAAAACCAGACAGAAGCATTCTCAGAAACTTACTCGTGATGTGTGTCCTCAACTGACGTAGTAGAACCTTTCTTTTGATAGAGCAGTTTTGAAACACTCTTTTTGTAGAATCTGCAAGAGGATATTTGGATAGCTTTGAGGATTTCGTTGGAAACGGGAAGATCTTCATATAAAATCAAGACAGAAGAATTCTCAGAAACTTCCTTGTGATGGTTGCATTCAAGTCACGGGGTTGAACATTCACTTTCATAGAGCAGGTTGGAAACACTCTTTTTCCATTCCCTGGAAGTGGACATTTGGAGCGCTTTGAGGCCTATGGTGAAAAAGGAAATATCTTCCCATCAAAACTAGACAGAAGCATTCTCAGAAACTTATTTGTGATGTATGTCCTCAACTAACAGATTAGAACATTTCTTTTGAGAGAGCAGTTTTGAAACACTCTTTTTGTGGAATCTGCAAGTGGATATTTGGCTGGCTTTGATGATTTCGTTGGACACGGAAATACATATAAAAAGCAGACAGCAGCGTTCTGAGAAACTACTTGGTGATGTTTGCATTCAAGTCACAGAATGGAACGTTCCCTTTCACAGAACAGGTTTGAAACACTCCTTTTGTCGTATCTGGAAGTGTCCATTTGGAGCGCATTCAGGCTTGTGTTGGAAAAGGAAATATCTTCCCATAAAAACCAGACAGAAGCATTCTCAGCAACTTGTTTGTGATGTGTGCCCTCTACTAACAGAGTTGAACCTTTCTTTTCATAGAGCAGTTTTGAAACACTCTTTTTGTAGAATCTGCAGGAGGATATTTGCATAGCTTTGAGGATTTCGTTGGAAACGGGATTGTCTTCAGATAAAATCCAGACAGAAGCATTCTCAGAAACTTCTTTGGGATGTTTGCATTGACGTCACTGAGGAGAACATGCCCTTTCGTAGAGAAGGTTTGAAACACTCTCTTTGCAGTATCTGGAAGTGGACATTTGAAGCGGTTTCAGGCCTATGTTGAAAAAGGAAATATCTTCCCGTAACAACTGGACAGAAGCATTCTCAGAAGCTAGTCTCTGATGTGTGTCCTCAACTAACAGAGTTGAACATTTCTTTGGAGAGTATAGTTTTGAAAAACTCTTTTTGTGGAGTGTGCAAGTGGATATTTGGCTGGATTTGAGGATTTCGTTGGAAACGGGATAAGGTATAAAAAGCAGACAGCAGCATTCTCAGCAACTTCTTTGTGATGTTTGCATTCAAGTCACAGAATTGAACATTCCCTTTCACAGAGCAGGTTTGAAACACTCTTTTTGTAGTGTCTGTAACTGGACTTTTGGAGCGCTTTCCGGCCTAAGGTGAAAAAGGACATATCTTCCCATAAAAACTAGACAGAAGCATTCTCAGAAAGTTACTAGTGATGTGTGTCCTCAACTAACGGAGTAGAACCTTTCTTTTGATAGAGCAGTTTTGAAACACTCTTTTTGTAGAATCTCCAAGTGGATATTTGGATAGCTTTGAGGATTTCCTTGGAAACGGGAATATCTTCATATAAAATCTAGACAGAAGCATTCTCAGAAACTTCCTTGTGATGGTTGCATTCAAGTCACGGAGTTGAACATTCGCTTTCATAGAGCAGGTTGGAAACACTCTTTTTCCATTCCCTGGAAGTGGACATTTGGAGCGCTTTGAGGCCTATGGTGAAAAAGGAAATATCTTCCCATCAAAACTAGATAGAAGCGTTCTCAGAAACTTATTTGTGATGTGTGTCCTCAACTGACATTGTTGAACATTTCTTTTGAGCGAGCAGTTTTGAAACACTCTTTTTGTGGAATCTGCAAGTGGATATTTGGCTGGCTTTGACGATTTTGTTGGAAACGGGAATACATATAAAAAGCAGACAGCAGCGTTCTCAGAAACTTCTTGGTGATGTTTTCATTCAAGTCACAGAATGGAACGTTCCCTTTCATAGAACAGGTTTGAATCTGTCCTTTTGTCGTAACTGGAAGTGTCCATTTCGAGCGCATTCAGGCTTGTGTTGAAAAAGGAAATATCTTCCCATAAAAACTAGAGAGAAGCATTCTCGCAACTAGTTTGTGATTTGTGCCCTCTACTAACAGGGTCGTACCTTTCTTTTCATAGAGCAGTTTTGAAACACTCTTTTTGTAGAATCTGCAGGAGCATATTTGCATAGTTTGAGGATTTCGTTGGAAACGGGATTGTCTTCAGATAAAATCCAGACAGAAGCATTCTCAGAAACTTCTTTGGGATGTTTGCATTGACGTCACTGAGGAGAACATGCCCTTTCGTAGAGAAGGTTTGAAACACTCTCTTTGCAGTATCTGGAAGTGGACATTTGAAGCGGTTTCAGGCCTATGTTGAAAAAGGAAATATCTTCCCGTAACAACTGGACAGAAGCATTCTCAGAAGCTAGTCTCTGATGTGTGTCCTCAACTAACAGAGTTGAACATTTCTTTGGAGAGTATAGTTTTGAAACACTCTTTTTGTGGAGTCTGCAAGTGGATATTTGGCTGGATTTGAGGATTTCGTTGGAAACGGGATAAGGTACAAAAAGCAGACAGCAGCATTCTCAGAAACTTCCTTGTGATGGTTGCATTCAAGTCACGGAGTTGAACATTCGCTTTCATAGAGCAGGTTGGAAACACTCTTTTTCCATTCCCTGGAAGTGGACATTTGGAGCGCTTTGAGGCCTATGGTGAAAAAGGAAATGTCTTCCCATAAAAACAAGATAGAAGCATTCTCAGAAACTTATTCGTGCTGTGTGTCCTCAACTAACAGAGTAGAACCTTTCTTTTGATAGAGCAGTTTTGAAACACTCTTTTTGTAGAATCTGCAAGTGGACATTTGGATAGCTTTGAGGATTTCGTTGGAAACGGGAATATCTTCACATGAAATCTAGACAGAAGCATTCTCAGAAATTTCTTTGCGATGTTTGCATTCAAGTCACAGAGTTGAACATTCCTTTTCATAGAGCAGGCATGAAACACTCTTTTTCTACTATCTGGAAGTGGACATTTGGAGCTCTTTCAAGCCTATGGTGACAAAGTAAATATCTTCCCATAAAAACTAGACAGAAGCACTCTCAGAAACTTATTAGTGATGTGTGTCCTCACATAACAGGCTTGAACATTTCTTTTGACACAGCAGTTTTGAAGCACTCTTTTTGTGGAATCTCCAAGTGGATATTTGGCTAGCTTTGAGGATTTCGTTGGAAACGGTAATGTCTTCATAAAAAATCTAGACAGAAGCATTCTCAGCAAACTTCCTTGTGATGGTTGCATTCAAGTCACGGAGTTGAACATTGGCTTTCATAGAGCAGGTTGGAAACACTCTTTTTCCATTCCCTGGAAGTGGACATTTGGAGCGCTTTGAGGCCTATGGTGAAAAAGGAAACATCTTCCCATAAAAACTAGACAGAAGCATTCTCAGAAACTTATTTGTGATGTGTGTCCTCAACTGACAGAGTTGAACATTTCTTTTGAGAGAGCAGTTTTGAAACACTCTTTTTGTGGAATCTGCAAGTGGATATTTGGCTGGCTTTGAGGATTTCGTTGGAAACGGGAATACATATAAAAAGCAGACAGCTGCGTTCTGAGAAACTACTTGGTGATGTTTGCATTCAAGTCACAGAATGGAACGTTCCCTTTCACAGAACAGGTTTGAAACACTCCTTTTGTCGTATCTGGAAGTGTCCATTTGGAGCGCATTCAGGCTTGTGTTGGAAAAGGAAATATCTTCCCAAAAAAATCAGACAGAAGCCTTCTCGGCAACTTGTTTGTGATGTGTGCCCTCTACTAACAGAGTCGAACCTTTCTATTCATAGAGCAGTTTTGAAACACTCTTTTTGTAGAATCTGCAGGAGCATATTTGCATAGCTTTGAGGATTTCGTTGGAAACGGGATTGTCTTCAGATAAAATCCAGACAGAAGCATTCTCAGAAACTTCTTTGGGATGTTTGCATTGACGTCACTGAGGAGAACATGCCCTTTCGTAGAGAAGGTTTGAAACACTCTCTTTGCAGTATCTGGAAGTGGACATTTGAAGCGGTTTCAGGCCTATGTTGAAAAAGGAAATATCTTCCCGTAACAACTGGACAGAAGCATTCTCAGAAGCTAGTCTCTGATGTGTGTCCTCAACTAACAGAGTTGAACATTTCTTTGGAGAGTATAGTTTTGAAACACTCTTTTTGTGGAGTCTGCAAGTGGATATTTGGCTGGATTTGAGGATTTCGTTGGAAACGGGATAAGGTATAAAAAGCAGACAGCAGCATTCTCAGAAACTTCTTTGTGATGTTTGCATTCAAGTCACAGAATTGAACATTCTCTTTCACAGAGCAGCTTTGAAACACTCTTTTTGTAGTGTCTGTAACTAGACTTTTGGAGCGCTTTCCGGACTAAGGTGAAAAAGGACATATCTTCCCATAAAAACTAGACAGAAGCATTGTCAGAAACTTACTCGTGATGTGTGTCCTCAACTGACGGAGTAGAACCTTTCTTTTGATAGAGCAGTTTTGAAACACTCTTTTTGTAGAATCTCCAAGTGGATATTTGGATAGCTTTGAGGATTTCGTTGGAAACGGGAATATCTTCATATAAAACCTAGACAGAAGCATTCTCAGAAACTTCCTTGTGATGGTTGCATTCAAGTCACGGAGTTGAACATTGGCTTTCATAGAGCAGGTTGGAAACACTCTTTTTCCATTCCCTGGAAGTGGACATGTGGAGCGCTTTGAGGCCTATGGTGAAAAAGGAAATATCTTCCCATAAAAACTAGACAGAAGCATTCTCAGAAACTTCTTTGTGATGTGTGTCCTCAACTGACAGAGTTGAACATGTCTTTTGAGAGAGCCGTTTGAAACACTCTTTTTGTGGAACATGCAAGTGGATATTTGGCTGTCTTTGACGATTTCGTTGGAAACGGGAATACATATAAAAAGCAGACAGCTGCGTTCTGAGAAACTACTTGGTGATGTTTGCATTCAAGTCACAGAATGGAACGTTCCCTTTCACAGAACAGGTTTGAAACACTCCTTTTGTCGTATCTGGAAGTGTCCATTTGGAGCGCATTCAGGCTTGTGTTGGAAAAGGAAATATCTTCCCAAAAAAATCAGACAGAAGCCTTCTCGGCAACTTGTTTGTGATGTGTGCCCTCTACTAACAGAGTCGAACCTTTCTATTCATAGAGCAGTTTTGAAACACTCTTTTTGTAGAATCTGCAGGAGCATATTTGCATAGCTTTGAGGATTTCGTTGGAAACGGGATTGTCTTCAGATAAAATCCAGACAGAAGCATTCTCAGAAACTTCTTTGGGATGTTTGCATTGACGTCACTGAGGAGAACATGCCCTTTCGTAGAGAAGGTTTGAAACACTCTCTTTGCAGTATCTGGAAGTGGACATTTGAAGCGGTTTCAGGCCTATGTTGAAAAAGGAAATATCTTCCCGTAACAACTGGACAGAAGCATTCTCAGAAGCTAGTCTCTGACGTGTGTCCTCAACTAACAGAGTAGAACATTTCTTTTGACAGTACAGTTTTGAAACACTGTTTTTGTGGAGTCTGCAAGTGGATATTTGGCTAGATTTGAGGATTTCGTTGGAAACGGGATAAGGTATAAAAAGCAGACAGCAGCATTCTCAGCAACTTCTTTGTGATGTTTGCATTCAAGTCACAGAATTGAACATTCCCTTTCACAGAGCAGGTTTGAAACACTCTTTTTGTAGTGTCTGTAACTGGACTTTTGGAGCGCTTTCCGGCCTAAGGTGAAAAAGGACATATCTTCCCATAAAAACCAGACAGAAGCATTGTCAGAAACTTACTCGTGATGTGTGTCCTCAACTGACGGAGTAGAACCTTTCTTTTGATAGAGCAGTTTTGAAACACTCTTTTTGTAGAATCTCCAAGTGGATATTTGGGTAGCTTTGAGGATTTCGTTGGAAACGGGAATATCTTCATATAAAACCTAGACAGAAGCATTCTCAGAAACTTCCTTGTGATGGTTGCATTCAAGTCACGGAGTTGAACATTGGCTTTCATACAGTAGGTTGGAAACACTCTTTTTCCATTCCCTGGAAGTGGACATTTGGAGCGCTTTGAGGCCTATGGTGAAAAAGGAAATATCTTCCCATAAAAACTAGACAGAAGCATTCTCAGAAACTTATTTGTGATGTGTGTCCTCAACTGACAGAGTTGAACATTTCTTTTGAGAGAGGAGTTTTGAAACACTCTTTTTGTGGAATCTGCAAGTGGATATTTGGCTGGCTTTGAGGATTTCGTTGGAAACGGGAATACATATAAAAAGCACACAGCAGCGTTCTCAGAAACTTCTTGGTGATGTTTTCATTCAAGTCACAGAATGGAACGTTCCCTTTCATAGAACAGGTTTGAATCTGTCCTTTTGTCGTAACTGGAAGTGTCCATTTGGATCGCATTCAGGCTTGTGTTGAAAAAGGAAATATCTTCCCATAAAAACTAGAGAGAAGCATTCTCGGCAACTTGTTTGTGATGTGTGCCCTCTACTAACAGAGTCGAACCTTTCTATTCATAGAGCAGTTTTGAAACACTCTTTTTGTAGAATCTGCAGGAGCATATTTGCATATCTTTGAGGATTTCGTTGGAAACGGGATTGTCTTCAGATAAAATCCAGACAGAAGCACTCTCAGAAACTTTTTTGGGATGTTTGCATTCACGTCACAGAGGAGAGCATGCCTTTTCGTAGAGAAGTTTTCAAACACTGTTTTTGTAGTATCTGGAAGTGGACATTTGGAGCGGTTTCAGGACTATGTTGAAAAAGCAAATATCTTCCCGTAACAACTGGACAGAAGCATTCTCAGAAGCTAGTCTCTGATGTGTGTCCTCAACTAACAGAGTTGAACATTTCTTTAGACAGAACAGTTTTGAAACACTCTTTTTGTGGAGTCTGCAAGTGGATATTTGGCTAGATTTTTAGGATTTCGTTGGAAACGGGATTACGTATAAAAAGCCGACAGCAGCATTCTCAGCAATTTCTTTGTGATGTTTGCATTCAAGTCACAGAATTTAACATTCCCTTTCACAGAGCAGGTTTGAAACACTCTTTTTGTAGTGTCTGTAACTGGACTTTTGGAGCGCTTTCCGGCCTAAGGTGAAAAAGGACATATCTTCCCATAAAAACTAGACAGAAGCATTCTCAGAAACTTACTCGTGATATGTGACCTGAACTAATGGAGTAGAAGCTTTCTTTTGATAGAGCAGTTTTGAAACACTCTTTTTGTAGGATCTGCAAGTGGATATTTGGATAGCTTTGAGGATTTCGTTGGAAACGGGAATATCTTCATATAAAATCTAGACAGAAGCATTCTCAGAAACTTCCTTGTGATGGTTGCATTCAAGTCACGGAGTTGAACATTGGCTTTCATAGAGCAGGTTGGAAACACTCTTTTTCCATTCCCTGGAAGTGGACATTTGGAGCGCTTTGAGGCCTATGGTGAAAAAGGAAATATCTTCCCATAAAAACTAGACAGAAGCATTCTCAGAAACTTCTTTGTGATGTGTGTCCTCAACTGACAGAGTTGAACATGTCTTTTGAGAGAGCAGTTCTGAAACACTCTTTCTGTGGAACCTGCAAGTGGATATTTGGCTGGCTTTGACGATTTCGTAGGAAACGGGAATACATATAAAAAGCAGACAGCAGCGTTCTCAGAAACTTCTTGGTGATGTTTTCATTCAAGTCACAGAATGGAACGTTCCCTTTCATAGAACAGGTTTGAAACTCTCCTTTTGTCGTAACTGGAAGTGTCCATTTGGATCGCATTCAGGCTTGTGTTGAAAAAGGAAATATCTTCCCATAAAAACTAGACAGAAGCATTCTCAGCAACTTGTTTGTGATGTGTGCCCTCTACTAACAGAGTTGAACCTTTCTTTTCATAGAGCAGTTTTGAAACACTCTTTTTGTAGAATCTGCAGGAGGGTATTTGCATAGTTTAAGGATTTCGTTGGAAACGGGATTTTCTTCAGATAAAATCCGGACAGAAGCATTCTCAGAAACTTCTTTGGGATGTTTGCATTCAAGTCACAGAGGAGAACATGCCCTTTCGTAGAGAAGGTTTGAAACACTCTTTTTGTAGTATGTGGAAGTGGACATTTGGAGCGGTTTCAGGCGTATGTTGAAAAAGGAAATATCTTCCCGTAACAAGTGGAGAGAAGCATTATCAGAAGCTAGTCTCTCATGTGTGACTTCAACTAACAGAGTTGAACATTTCTTTAGACAGAACAGTTTTGAAACACTCTTTTTGTGGCGTCTGCAAGTGGGTATTTGGCTAGATTTGAGGATTTCGTTGGAAACGGGATTACGTATAAAAAGCAGACAGCAGCATTCTCAGAAACTTCTTTGTGATGTTGGCATTCAAGTCACAGAATTGAACATTCCCTTTCACAGAGCAGGTGTAAAACACTCTTTTTGTAGTGTGTGTAAGTGGACCTTTGGAGCGCTCTCCGTCCTAAGGTGAAAAAGGACATATCTTCCCATAAAAACTAGACAGA